>NC_000010.11:80900671-81052186 GCF_000001405.40 Homo sapiens | reverse complement strand
ACATGTACCAGTAGTTTGTTCCTTTTTTTATTGCTGAATAATATGTCACTGTATGGATGTACCACATGCATTTATCAATAAATCAGTTGTGGTACATTAAGATTGTGCTACATTGGGGCTATTATAAACAATATGGCTATCACCATCTGTGTGCAAGCGTTTATGTGGACAAATGTTTTTATTTCTCTTAGAGATACACCTAGGAGTAGCATTGCTAGACCATATGGAAATTTTGTGTTTAACTTTTGATGAACTGCAAGGTTGTTTTCCTAAGTGGCTACAACATTTTACATTCACACCAACAACATGTAAGAGTTCAGTTTTTCCATATCCTCACCAACACTTGGTGTTGACTGTATTTTTTTATTACAGCCTTTTTAGAAGGGGTATAGTAGTATCTCATTGTAATTTTAATTTGCATTTTCGTAATGACTAATGATGGTGAGCATCTTTTCATATGCTTATTAGCCATTTGCATATCTTCAGTGAAACATTAAATAGAATTATCTTAATTTTACCTTGTGAGAACTTTTATATATTCCGAATACATTTATCAGATATATGATTTACAGATTTTTCTTCAAGTATGTGTTTGTCTTTTCTTTTTGGTAGAAAACACAAGACTTTTTGGTGCTTACCTTTTTGGTAAAGGTGTCTTTTAAGGTACAAACTTTTAAAATTTGTATAAAGTTTAATTTACCAGGTTGTTATTTTGTGTCATATTAAGTGCTCTTTACCCAACCAAAGATCATTAAGAGTTTCTTCTATTTTTTTCTCTAAGTTTTAGTGTTTATCTCTCATATTTTAACATAAATATTTTTTAGTTAACTGTGTGTGTGGTATGTGGTAAAGGTCTAAACACATTTATTTGGCATGTAAATATCCACTTGTCCCAGCATTATTTGTTAAAATAATATCCTCTCCCTACTAAATTGCCTTGGCACTATTATTAAAAATCAAAAGACCATAAATATAAGGATTTATTTCCAGAATCTCATTTCCAGAAACCAATCTTATAAATCAGTCTGTTTCGGCCGGGAGTGATGGCTCATGTCTGTAATCCCAGCACTTTGGGAAGCGAAGGCAGGTGGATCACTTGAGGTCAGGAGTTGGAGACCAGTCTGGTCAATATGGTGAAACGCCATTTCTACTAAAAATACAAAAAATTAGCCGGATGTGGTGGTGGGAGCCTGTAATCCCAGCTATTAGGGAGGTTGAGGCAAGAGAATTGCTTGAGCCTGGGAGGCAGAGGTTGCAGTGAGCAGAGATTGCACCATTGCACTCCAGCCTGGGCAACAAGAGTGCAACTCTGTCTCAAAAATAAACAAATAAATAAAATAAATAAATCTGTTTCATTGATTTCTTTGTCCATCCTTTGATGAATACCATACTATTTTGATTACCTTGGCTTTAGAATGTTTTCAGATCAGATACTGTCCACTTTTGTTCTCTTTCAAAATTGTTTTTGGCTATTCTAGGTATTTTGACTTTCCAAATAAATTTTATTATTAGCTTGTCAAATGCTATTTTAAAAGCTTCCTGGTATTTTAACCATTAGACAAGCTTCCATTTCCAGTTAACCTGAGATGTGATTTACCCTCTCCTCTAAATTATCAAAACAAATACATATAAAAACAAAAGGTAATGTGTTAGACATCAGGCAATGAAGGACAGTAATCCCTGAGGTATGGGGAAAAATGAGTCTTTTGATTCCCTTAAATTATGCCTGGAAAAAGTTTCCAAGACACAGCATGGATGGGGATACCCAGGAAGATCCCAATATATTCTCGATAAGGAGATGGACTTGGGGGTCTGAGGAAGCCAAGATGAGGTACTAGAGAAGAAAAGCTTAACAGAGAGAAAAGTCCAGAGAATTGTAGAAGATCCTTCTTTAGTATTAGGTGAATACTAATGAGCAGCTTTCAAAAATGAGGAAGTTAAACATATCTCAGATTGATATCTAAATTCATAAGCCCCATTTGTTACTTATATTGAAGTACAAAAGTGACAATGAAAATATTAAGAATCCAAAAATATGTGTAAGCATAAAAGTATAACTTTATTTGTATGATTTTATGAGATTTAGAAGATGAATGAAAAGGGAAAGTTATATTAATTTGGAAAACATTCCCAACTTATCGAGACAATTAGAAATACAAATGAGGCAGTGACAATAAAAGCACTTGTCACACTTCCCACCATAAAAATTTACTACTCATTAACCTTTGAAGAATTCAGCTCTCCAAGGAATTTTTGTGAATGCATAACTCACGCAGTGAAATTAACAGTCAATGATATATTTAATAACTAAGTGCAAAGTGATTTCAATAGTCTGTGTTTACTCTTCCCATTTTTGCCTTCTGTAAAAGTAATACATTTATGCATATTTGAAAATAAAACTGAAGCAATGCAAATCCAATTTCAGAACATTAAATTTTGTCCTAACAGTACCTTATAAAGATACATTGTCATTACCAGGTTGTTCACACTTCCCACCATATGTAGTATGTCAAAAGTGTTTTCATGTATTAACTTATTAGTCCTCCAACTGTATCTGTAATCCTTAATATTTAAAGTCCTGACATTACTTAAAAAGATTTTTATTTTAATTTGGGGAGCATGGAAATAGAAGTTCTGGCATATATTACAGAAGTCCCATCCTTTACAGACATTTTGGCACCAGAGAAAATTTTGTAAAATGAATTCTAATTCACTGATGGATTTCTATTATGCAATTTGAATAAGTACGATCACAATAAAGAAAAAAATTAACTTGGATCCCTACCACACTTTGTACAACAAAATAATTTCCGAATAGTAAAAATTGCAGATCTAAAAGATGAAATAGAAAATGGTTAGAATTAAATATAATTGAATTTACTTATATTCTTGGGGAGGTCAGAGATTTCTAAGTACCATATTAAAACAATAATGGAAAATTTTGAGATGTTTTGAGTAATTTAAATATATGAAAGTAAAAATTGGCAAAATACCATAGATTCAATAAAAAGGTAACTGACAAACCAGGAAAATATATCTATGATATACATAAAGGTTAATGAGCTAAGTAATTTACTAAATAGCTCATAAATCAATTACAAGCTTAAGCCCTAATAAATTAGCAGAAACAACATCTGGGTTAAGGCCCTACAGTTTACAGAAAAGAAAATAAAAAGAATTACCTGAAATCAGAAGCTTTAAATGCCCAACCTCTTTTATTGTTAAAGTATATAAATACAAGTTAAGAACTCAAACCTCAAATTTGACAAGATTGAATACTGGAAAACGTATGGAGAAACAGGCACTCTTAGAAACTACTTATGAGTTTTAGGTAGGATAGAAATGCATGTGTTTCAAATATTCTTTTGCTTATCATTACTTCTTACATTTTATGTTTTTCTTTGTTTAATTCATTCTCCCTGAAATATATCCTCAGGCATCCATTCAGCAAATTTCTGTTTGTGATATAATCAGCCTTTGCTTGAAAATATCTTCATTTCGCCCTCAAACTTGAATGATCATTTGATTAAAGTTTTAGGTAAATAATTCTAAGTTGGAAGTTAACTTGTATTCGTAGTTTGAGAACTCAAATATCTGGCTTCTTTCACTTTTCAAACATTTTATTATGAAAACCTACCAACACATGGCCTGAGTCCAATTTAAGTTCCCAGTGTAGGAATTCCTGCATCCTAGGTGAGGTAGCATAAATTCAGCACAGTCTCAGGGTTCTGATCATCTGATCCTACTGGGCATTGCCCTTGGATCCCTTAAATGACCATGACCACACCATTAACTGCCCCTAAACCAACGCAAAAACAGACACATTTTGAGCATTTGTTTTTCCTTCTATGGTTTTAAGTTTCTTCTTAGATTCTGGCATTCTCGTATTAGTTGGTGAAAAGTAATTGTGTTTTTATTCCTCTAAAGGCAAAGGCAAAAACTGCAATTACAAACTGCAATTACTTTTGCACCAACCTATTCTTCTCTTTTCTTTGATGGATATCAAATAGTAACTTTACCCAGGACCTAAGGTGTTTAGAGTGAAAGTATTTTAAAGTTACATTATTTTACCATATTGCTGAATCCAGACTCACAGCTTTCTTCCATTTTTTTCCCCTGAAATTTATGTCACTGTATATTAGTTCTGAAGTAGCCCAACACTGGATTCTTTTATTTTATTCTAATCTGAGGATCTCTGTCTTTTTACTACTGTGATGTGTTGGTGTTTATGTCAATTACTAACGCATAGCATTTATTTATACTATCTTATTTTGTACTTTCTCTTTACCATGTATTTTCTTTGTTGCTTCTCTTTTTTAAATTTTTTTCTCTCCTGACTTCTACTGGATAGGTCAACTTTTGTAGCCTGTGGCTCTGTCTTCCAGAACATTAGCTTCTCTGCAGTTTAGGGTAATTAGCCTGAGTCCAATTTAAGATCCCAGTTGGAGAATTCCTATAGCCTAGGTAAGGCAGCATATATTAAGCACAAACTCAGGGTTTTGTTTATTCATGGAAATTTTTTTATCTTTCCAGTAGAGAAAGAACTTCCTTGTCTCTCAAGAGGTTATTTTGCAGAAGTTTTCTTTTTCTCCTTTCCCTGAAAATTCATCCTCCAGATGATGTTCTGTCTTTGTGCAGGGATCTTAGTCCCAAATCTCCATCAAAGGCCCAGTGCTCCGTTCCTATAGGGAAAGGAAAGCCTGATTCTCTTGGACCTAATGTGGGGTTTGATAATCATCCACAAGACCAACACAGCCTCACTTAACTGGTTTGGTGCTCTGATTTTCAGTACCTTCTTTGTTTCTGGAAAATGGAACTTCCTTTTTTTCTTATGAGATTAGCTATACATTAAATTTAAATCTGCCATTTCTTCAGTTTGTAATTGAAATGGTTCCAGGTTTGCTTTCCCAGCATGTTGCCAGAACAAGAAAACCATTGTATGAAAATTAAAAACTTTCTATCTAAGGATACCTCAGTATTTACAAAATTAATATAAAATGCTAACAACAATAATATCACAGATACTTTAAATCAAGTAGAAAATATATTAATGCTTCCACAAGAAAAAAAATGCCCAACATATGAAAGAACATATGCACAAATGTTACTATGACTAAGAAAAAATTTGAAATATACAGTTAAGTAAAATTCCAAAATACAAATTAAAACAGACTTTTGTTTTTCAACCTATATTGACAAAAGTTAATACACTTGATAATTATCAACACTGGTGGATACTTTCTGAGATGGGCACTCATACACTGCCAGAATGTTTTGAGAGCTTTAAAAATATATCACTTTGAGAGTATATTACCACAGAGCCCACAGAAATATAAATAACCATCAGAAAATATTACAAACAACACTATGCACACAAACTAGAAAATCTATTAATAGGAGATATGGATAGATTCCTGAACACATACACCCTCCCAACACCAAACCAGGAATAAATTGAATCCCTGAACAGACCAGTAATAAGCTCTGAAATTGAATCAGTAATTAATAGCTTACCAACCAAAAAAGCTCAGGACAAGACAGATTCACAGCCAAGTTCTACCAGAAATACAAAGAAGAGCTGGTAACATTCCTAGTGAAGCTACCCAGAACAATTAGGAGGAGGAACTCCTCCCTAACTCATTCTATGAAACAAGCATCATCCTGATACCAAAACCTGGCAGAGACACAACAAAAAAAGGAAACTTTAGGTCAATATTTTTGATGAAGATAAATGCAAAAATCCTCAACAAAATATCAGCAAACTCTATCCAGTAGCACAACAAAAAACTTATTCACAAAGATCAAGTAGGCTTTATCCCTGGGATGCAAGGTTGGTTCAACATACTCAAATCAACAAATATGATTCATCACATAAAAGAACTAAAGACAAAATCCACATGATTATCTCAGTAGATGCAGAAAAAGCTTTCAATAAAATTCAACACCTCTTCATTTTAAAAACTCTCAATATACTAGGTGTTGAAGGAACATGCCTCAAAATAATAAGAGCCATCCATAGCAAGCCCACAGCCAACATCATACTGAATGAACAAAAGCTGGAAGCATTCCCCAAGGAAACCAGCACAAGATAAGGAAGAATGCCCTCTCTCACCATTCCTATCCAAAATAGTATTGGAAGTCCTGGCCAGAGTAATCAGGGAAGAGAAAGAAATAAAGAACATCCAAATAGCAAGAACAGAAATCAAACTATTCCCGTTTGCAGATGACATGATTCAACATCTGGAAAGCCCCATAGTCTCAGCCCAAAAGCTCCTTAAGCTGATAAACAACTTCAGCGAAGTCTCAGGATACAAAATCAATGTGCAAAAATCACTAGCATTCCTATCCTCCAACAATAGTCAAGTTGAGAGACAAATCAGGAATGCAATTCCATTCACAATCACCACAAAAAGAATAAAATACCTAGCAATACAGCAAAACATGGAGGTGAAAGATCTCTACAAGGAGAACTACAAACTGCTGCTCATAGAAATCACAGATGACACAAACAAGTGGAAAAATATTCCATGCTCATGGATAGGAAGAATCAATATTGCTAAAATGGCCATACTGCCCAAAGCAATTTATAGATTCAATGCTCTTTCTATCAAACTGCTAATGACATTCTTCACAGAACTAGAAAAAACTAATTTTAAATTCATATGGAACCAAAAAAGAACCCAAATAGCCAAGGCAATCCTAAGCAAAAAGAACAAAACTGGAAGCATCATGCTACCTGACTTCAAGCTATATCACATGGCTACAATAACAAAAACAGTATGGTCCTGGTAGAAAAAACAGACACATACACAAATGGAACATAATAGAAAGCCCAGAAATAAGGCCATCTGATGAAATAAGGCCCAATAAAATAAGGCCGCCTACAATCATCTGATCTTTGACAAATCTAACAAAAACAAGCAATGGGGAAAAGACTCCCAATCCAATAAATGGTGCTGGGATAACTCGCCAACAATATGGAGAAGATTGAAACTGGACTCCTTCTTTATGCCACATACAAAAATCAACTCAAGATGGATTAAAGACTTAAATATAATACCCAAAACTATAAGAACCCTGGAAGACAATACTATCCTGGACCTAGGAATAAGCAAAGATTTCATGATAAAGGCACCAAAAGCAAAAATTGACAAGTGGGATCTAATTAAGCTTAAGAGCTTCTTCACAGCAAAAGAAACTGTCAAGAGAGTAACAGATAGCCTATAAAACAGGAGAAAATTTTTGCAAGCTATGCATCTGACAAAGGTCTAATATTTAGCATCTGTGAATAACTTAAACAAATTTACACAAAAAAACCTTTAAAAAGTAAGCAAAGGACATGAAATACTATGGAATACTATGTGGCCATAAAAAAGAACAAGATCATGTCCTTTCCGGGAACACAGATGAAGGTGGAGATCATTATCCTTTAGCAAACTAATGCAGGAGCAAAAAACCAAATACCATATGTTCTCACCTATAAGTGGCAGCTAAATGAGGAGAGCACATACATACATACATAGAGGGGAAAAACAGACCCTAGGGACTACCAGAAGGTGGAGGGTGGAAGGAGGAAGAAGATCAGGAAAAAATAACTAAGGGGTACTAGGCTTAATATCTGGGTGACAAATAATCTGTACAACAAACCCCCAGACACAAGTTTACTTATATAATCAACCTGCATGTGTATTCCTGAACTTAAAATAAAAGTTAAAAAAATTATCACTTTGAGATAATAATTTAATTTATAAAACTGTCCCCTAAAGATTTAACCAGCTACTGATACACTCAAATTCATTATATAGCCACTATCTAGCCAACACTTTGAAACAAAATGAATATTAAAAAATAGGAACCACACTCTTCTCACTTCTTTGCCCTTTCAATGAGAGATCCTGAGGGATACTTTCTATCATCATTTCAAAGACCCAAACTGCATAAATAAGAGAAAGAGTTTTACTTATCTAATAGTTAACTCAGTAAAATATATTCAACAGTATACACATAGACTGATTATATTGTTTGCAATATTGATCCTTTTTATGTAATCTTAATATAAGCATATTAAGTAGCTGGGGTTTAGACTGGGCCTTGAAAGAAAAGTGGCAAATAGCAAATAGAAAACATTTTCATTTAGTTAATGAAGGTGATATCTTTATTATTTCTCTTTTCTCTTTTGGATCTTTTAGTATTGTACTAGGAATATCAACAGCCAGAGAGGGAGCTATACTGTTTAGCAATCAAGACTTGATCTCATTTTGAGTAACATTATTTGAGCATAAAAGTAAGGATTTTCTTTCAAATATAGGCTTTTCAAAGATTTTCTCTATACTTTAGTGCAATTTTATTACATCTAAGGACGATGTTTCTCCTCTGCCCCAAGAGAAACAAATTTTCCATTTTATGAAGTCAGCGGGGAGCCAGACTCAATTTATAAAAATTAACTTCACAGGGAACTTTTCCTAAGACTGACTATTGCCACATGAGGAAGTTACAGTCTGGTAATCAAAGGCTCACTTGCAGAAACAAATTAACCCTCTAGCATTAAGATGCCAGTAAAAAACTGAGAAAAAGATGAACTGTACTTTCTCTGAAAAAAACAAGGATTCTCATCTGATTGAGCACCATCTTTACATTCAGGATAGTATTCCTCAAAATCAGTGTGAAAGATTAGCTTTTGGGAGTCCAGGAAGAACATATTATAACCTTTATTTGCATTTACTTCTCATCACATCCCTTGTATCTACAGAACAACAATGGGAGAATTTTAAATAGTTATCACCTAATGTAAACGGGAATCTTGATTAAACCATTGCAGTGGCAAATCATTTCACCATATTCATGGGCTATAACATTTCTGAAAGCTTTAAAGAAATGAAATACAAAGAAAAGGCTTTGTATTTTGCCTTGAAAATAAAAGTGTAAGAAGAAAGCAAAATAAAAGGTCTTTTTTTAATCCTACAGAATAATTTTCCTATGTCATGAATCTATTTTATAACAAATTATGGAAACTGTTAATTCCATGTTTCCTTACTTTTTATGCACACATTCTTTTAAAATATGTAATATAATTAAAACAGAAGTGCTTATTACAATATGGCATCTTAAGATTGTTGCAGGCAGATGACAATTATGATGTAGTTGCCATTTCTTTGGCATGAGCAAACATGAAAAGTGGCAACATCAGCTTACTGGGAGAGAACTCCGAGATAATAATGGGGTGTTCGCTAGAAAAATGTTGCCCATGAATTTGATAACTCTGAGTTAGAAGGTAATTCAGGAAAGTCAGATGCTAGAAGTGAAGAAGCTTCAGAATAGGGTAACTCATTTATCTCACTTTTACTTTCTTTTTTATGCATGTACAAGAGTGACATACAATAAAAGTCTATAGTTAAGTAACTATAAGATTTCCTCCAATAAGTAGAAAACAAAAATTTTAAGTGATAAGGAAGCATTGTATCAGTTTTATTGGCAGCATATTTTCTTTCTTATTAGTACCTAAAACAATGACTGTACAATGAACAATACCTTAGACAGATTCAATGAAATATGATACGCCCACTATAACACACATGCTCTAGGTTATAAGAGAAAAACAGTCTTGGCATTTGGTCTTCATCTTTTGCTTTTCTTCTGCTCTTTTCAGTGTCAGTATGTGTATGTTAATATAAGCCCCCTCATGCTGCTCCTTATGGCTCTATTTCAAGTACTGGGAAATAAAATAAACAGAATAAGCTATCAGACTCCCCAGTAAAAGGCAGAGATAAATAATGCTAAAAGCAGGCAATATGCATACTTACATAATGCAAGCAATATCAAAAAGAATACCACAAAGTATTTTGAAATGGAACATAAACGAAGTCGTAAGTGGAATCTAAGGTACAACAGAAAAGATGTATTTTACAAGAGATTTGGAAAGTATTATCATAGAAGTGAATGTCTTTAGGAAGATAGTGATTGTTGCAGATCTTAAGGGTATAAGAAAAGAATATCTTATAGCTGATGTGAACAACAGCCTGCAAATTCTGGCATGCAAGCTTTCATCATGATTTGGGGAAATCACTTCCAATCATTTTCCAGTTCCCAAGCTAAATGTGCTGGGCTTGTTCTCGAGGCACATTTTAAAGGTACTGAGGACACCATTCCAGTCACCAGCCATCTGTCCACACTGGAAACCACCAACATATTTATTGGCTTTGCACACATAAGGTTCCTTCAGTGGTTCTGGTGCTCCTTTGACACATTTGGGACACAGATTCTTAGGCTGGGCTGTGAATACTTGGGCTCTGAGCCCAGCAAACTTAATATTCATCCTAGCCAACCAACAATTTCCCACCTTCCTGGTGCACAGCCAAAACGCTGAGCACTGTTCTCGGCTGCTCATATCCTTCTCAGGCTGGGGAAGAAAACTTGACTTTCTTTCTCATTTTCCTCAGTCATTCTCTTTTACTCAAACCCCTCTGGGACACCTACAGTCTCTCTTCAAATGGTTTGGGCTTTTACAAAAGACCAGAGAATCTCAGATTTACACAGATGCTGAATTATAAAAGGGCCCTGTAGCTGCTTAAAAGGAAAGGGATGCTAAGGAGATATATAGGGAAGACACACACCAATTACAAATTATGGTGCCACATTTATGCCGGCATCTCTTACCTTCAGCTGTGCATTTCCTGGGTAATGTCAATTAATCACAACAGTAGCCAAGAACAGCACAGTCCTGTTGCAGTAATCGCCTGAAATGCACTTGCTCACAGACTACAAAGCTGCCCAAGTCACTAAAAATACCACTGGACCATTGTGCTTATTACCATAGAGAGTGATACATCATTGAAATATTTTGAAAATTTTTAAGTTAGGAGATATTTGTTAGGTATTGTCGAAATGCTAATCTTGTCTTTTTAAATCCTAGAAGTCAGTCTGTACTTTGCATCATTTTACCACTGTGATCCTGAAGTGAAACAACCATGGCGAAATAGTGCAGTGGAAGGAAGTTGTAGAATGCCAGTTTATGAGTTTGTTTATTCTGCAGAAATTTTACTGCTGCTCAAACTGACTGCTTCTTTAGTGCCTTAAAGCAAACAGCATAATCTGTGGACTCAAGATCAGAACAATAAACTTCACTGAATTTATAGGCTCAGGAGAACAGCATTCAATAGGGCCTTTTATTATGACCCTATCCTGACAATGTTTTTCTGACTTTCATTGCTTCAAGAATTCATAGGAGAAATGGCAAAGCAGTATGTTGTTTTGAGTGTGAGCCCTACCCCCACTGTTAATCACACCAAATATTGAAGAATACAACTCAGATAGGAGAGCACTACACAGTGGGACCTCTAAGGTGGGTGCAGAAAATTGTTCTGCTTCATGTTAACAAACACATTTTGAAAAATGGAGATGTAGAGCCATTTAATCATAATGCTCAGCTTTCTCACTTACAGACCTTGCATATTAGAATTATTACTCATCACTGGGGTGTTGATGGATGACATATACAGGTGAGTTATATAAGGACATAGAAACCAGCATAAAGAGGGCAGGACAGTGCAGTTTAGAGTGGTTTTCCAGATTTTATATAATTTCGTACAAAGGAAACCTTTTAAAAATCTCACTTTTAATTAATTAATTAATCTCAATTTCCATTAATTATTTATTAATTTAATATATAATCGTATTAATGTTATGTTATGTAATTATATAGCAAACAATAGAAATGGACAGAAGAAATAGGTAAGATAAAAATAAATACAAATATATTTCTAACGATTTCCACTGGTGGTGTTCACTGGCTTTGTAATCATGGAAACCCAAGTTGGAGTTTTCCTGATGCTATTAACAATCCGTACGAATCTGAGCAATTTTTGTAAGTCCTCTTGGCCTTATGGGGTTAGTAGTTAGCACAGGTTGTGGGCCCATAGCACAAGCGGCTATCATAATGATGATGATGATGATGATGATGATGATGATGTTTCTGGTTATCATTACCTTCCAGAGATTAGATAAACGTGGGAAGGATAGTCAAAGAACAGCCATAACTCCCCGCCTCCACCACCATCAAGGGGTTTCTGACTTGATCTTAAATAACTTTATTGAGAGGGAAACTTTGCCTTCCAACTCTTTTGCTTTGAGAAAAATTACAGGTTGAGATACAGAGTAATTTCTTTGTCCTCTTGTTCGTAATCATTTCTACAAAAATATGCTAAAGATTTAGGATTGTGGGAGTAAGGCAGGAAGTTGCTGTCTGGGTCTTTAGCCCCTTTGAAATGAAGTTAACACTGGAAGGAGAGAATGCTCTGGTAAACCTGAATATCAATTTGCAGATAATTGACATCTCTCTTTTACTGACTCAATCCATAAACACAGTATGTCTATTTAGATTTTTATTTGTTAGTTTCTAGTATCAGCATTTTGTTTACAGCATAAAGGTCCTGGACATGTTTTTTAGGTTTTCAACTAAGTTGTGTGTGTTTTGTTTGGTTGGTTGGTTAATGATGAAATGGTATTCTAACTTCAGTTTCAACAGGTTCACTGCTAGAATATAGAAATAGAGTTGATGTTTGCATGTTGATCTTGTGTCCTGAGACTGCTGAACTTATCTAATTAATTCTAAGAGAGTTTGGTTAATTGAATTTTCCACATTCATGCCATCTGCAAACAGGGGCAGTTTCTTTTTTTTTTTTTTTTTTTCCTTATCTGTATGCCTTTTTTTTTTTCTTGCTTTATTGTGCTGGCCAGAAATTCCAGCATGACCACTGAATAGCAGTGGTGAGAGCAGACATTCTTACCTTTTTTTTTTCTGTTCTTAGGGGAAAAACATTTAGTCATAGTAATTAACTATAATGTTAGCCGTTAAGTTTTTTGTAAATATTTGTTATCAAGATCAGAAAATTGACCACTATTTCCAGATTTCTGAGAGTTTTTGTCATGAATGGGTGTTGAATTTTGTCAAATGCTCTTTCTGAATCTGTTGATAAAATCATGTTATTGTTCCTTGGCCTGTTAATATGATTTTATTGATTAATTTTACAATATTAAAACAACCTTGACCCCTGTAATAAAGCATACTTGGTCATAATGTATAATTCTTTTTATATATTGCTAAATTCACTAATGTCTTATTAAGGATTTCTGCATTATTTTTGAGAGGGATATTGATCTGTCATTTTCTTTTTTTAATCTGGTTTGGTTTGGTATCATGTTGTGCTGGTCTCATAAAAGATTATTCTCTTTCTGGCAGAGACTTTGTAGAATTGATGTTAATTCTATTTTAAACATCTGGTAAAATACTCTAGTAAAACCATCTAAACCTGGAGATTTCTTTTTGAGGGGTGTCTACTTATGAATTTAATTTCCATAATAATTACATGGCTATTTAAATTATCCATTTCATAATGAATGCATTGTGGTTGTTTGTGTTTTTAAGGATTGGTCCATTTTTTCAAAGTTGCTAAATTGATGGGTGTAAAGATGTTTACAGTATTTCCTTACTATTCTTTCCATTCCTTCAGAGTCTGTGGTAATATTTGCTATTTCATTCTTAATATTAGCATTTTGTGTCACCTTTTTTTAGTCATGCTAGAAGTTTGCAAATTTTATTGATATTTTCAAAGAAGCAGCTTTTTGTTTCACTGATTTTTTAAAAATTTTTTGTTTTCAATTTTGTTAATTTATAATTTTATCTTTATTATTTTCTTCCTTCTGCTTGCTTGGTCTACTTTGACTTTTTTTTTAAGTTTCTTGAGGGACTTAGATTATTGATTTTGGAACTTTACCCTTTTCTAATATAAGCATTTAGTCCTATGAATTTCCCTCACAGCATTGTTTTAGCTTAATACCACAAATTTAGATGTTGCATTTTCATTTCTATTCAGTCCAATGTATCTTTTAAATTTTCCTTTAAGACTTCTTCTTTGACTCATGGATTATTATGTAGTATGTTGTTTAGTTTCCAAGTGTTTGGATATTTTCTCATTGTCTTCCTGCAACTGATTTCTAGTTCGATTCCATTGTGATAAAGAAAGCAGTCTGTGTGGTTTTAATTCCTTTAAATTTCTCATTGTTTGCTTTATGGCCAAGGATATGTTCTATCTTGGTAATATGTTCTGTGGTAATTTGAAAAGGCTGTGTATTCTTCTGTGGTTGAGTGGAGTGTTCTATAAATGCAATTAGACCCTGTTGGTTGTTGGCGGCATCTGAACTTGTTCCTATATATCTTTGCTGAATTTGTGTCTAAGTTGTTTAATTAGTTATTGAGAAGGGATTTTAAAGACTCCAACTATAATTGTAAATTTGTCTATTTCTCCTTTAAGTTATATCACTTTTTGCTTCATATAGTTTGTAGCCTTTATATTAGGTGAATAAACATTAAGGATTACTATGTCTTCTAAAAAGATTGACCCTTTTATCATTAAATAATATTCCTTTCCATCTTAGACAATTTTCTTTGCTCTGAAGTCTACTTTATCTGATATTAATACAGTTACTCCTGCTTTCGATTAATGTTTGCTTGTTATATTGCTTTCACCTACTTATGATATTTGAAATCAATGTATTTAAACAACATACAGTTGGGTCATTTTTTTGTTTACATCCTGTTAATCTTTGTCTTATAATTGGTAGACTTAGACCATTTATACTTAGTGTAATTATTCATATGTTATGGCAAAAATTCATCATTTTTTAATAAACTTTTAATGTTAGAATAGTTTTCTATTTGCCAAAAAAGTGAAGATATTATATATACTCAACACCTGTTTCCCCCTATTATTAACATCTTACATTAGTATGACATGTTGGTTATAATTTGTGGATAAATATTGATATATTCACATTGGTGAATATTAAATAAAGTCCTTTCTCTGTATTCAGTTTCCTTAGTTTTAATGTTATTTTTCTGTTTTAGGATGCCATCCAGGAACCACATTACACTTAGTTGTTACGTTTCCCTAGGCTCCTCTTGACTGTGTCAGTTTCTCAGACTTCCATTGTTTTTGGTGTTTTTGACAGTTTGAGGAGTACTAGTCAGGTATTTCGTAAAATGTTCCTCAATTTGGCTTTGTCTGACATTTCTCTCAAGATTAGACTGGAGTTAAGAGTTTGGGGAAGGAAGACCACAGAAGTAAGCACCATTCTTATGACATCATATAAATGGTACTATCAACATAATTTGTCACTTTTAATGTTAACCTTGGTCACCTATGAGATAGTGTTTTGCATGTTTCTAAAGTGTAAACTCGTTCTCCCTGCCTGACTTCCATACACTACTCTTTGGAAGGACATGTGTGTCCCTCATACTTAAGTAGTAAGGAATATGCTCCACTTCCTTGAGGGTGAAATATCTATATAAATTTTTAAAATTCTTCTGTATGAGACATTTGTCTCTTCTCCACTCATTTATTTAATCGTTATTTACATCAGTATGAACTCACTATTATTTATTTTATACTTTGATTTATAATTCAATATTGCTTTAATTATGTATTTACTCAGATTACTCTAACTTTGGGCACTGGAAACATTTTCAATTGGTTCTTGTGTTCCTTTGGCATACTCATCATTGTGAGTTCATTGTTGTTGTTGTTGTTTCCTCTAGTTGATTTTTGGTTCTGCCTGAATTGTTCATCTACCCACATTTTTCTGCATCTGGGGATGATGCAAACCAAAACCAGAACATAACCACATTTTTCTTATTTCCCCTGAACCTCTCAGGAGGCTATTGTATATAGTACAACATTTCTGCAGATGCCATGGTAACAAGGATAGAGACTTCACAGCCCAGCGTCTGTCACACTGCTTCCCACGCTGTTCTTGGGTCACACCTACTATGGGGAATTTTTCAAGGTGGAAATCTCTTATAAAGATCTTGCCCCAACCTCCCAACCTCGCCAGCTGCTAAGGCTCCCAGAGTCTCCTCACATTTCCCTACAACTCCATCTGCTACCCACTCCCAAAACGTTAGATCTTTCAGACCAAGTTTCCACATCCCCACCCTCAGTTCACACCTTCTGAGTGCTGTCTTCCTCCCATCTGATGCCACCTTCCTCTAGAACATTCATAGGAAAGGGGGCTTGTCATCTCATGTGCATTCCAGTGTTTAAATTAAAATGCTGAATGATGGTTGTATAAATCCTCATAATCACAGTACTAAGCTCTTAACAAGCAGCTAAAAACACTCTAACTACTCTGTTGAATGGTTATGTTTTTCTGGCACCTATACCCCACAGGTATGACTGTGAGTACACTTCTTCTAGGACCTTGGCCCTGCCGGCATTGCCTCTACCCTAGCACCCCCATCAGACATCCATCCCCCCAAAAATGGCTGCACAGATGGCCATTTCTCTGTCCAACACAAGAATTTCTCTCCTTTGTGTCCCTTTCCTGCAGCTTGGCCATGTACCTCCTATCGCCACAGGGCATTGCCTTGAAGAGGCTCCATTCCAGTGAGACACACCTGGGTTGAAATCGCAGCTCAGAACTTCACAGTTGTGTGATCTTAGCCAGGTTCCATTTCCTTCAGAGCTTGAATTTTCTCATCTTTGAAACAAAGTGCCTCTGCTTTCGCCGTGATAAGGTAAGACTGTCTTCTATTCTGCTCTGAAACTTCATGATACACAGCTCAGCATGACAGCTTGTTCCACATGTTGAATAGCCACTGACTACTCACTCTTCTCTCTCTGCCCTGTGAACAGCAAACCCACCTCTCACCTGTTCCAACTCTCTCTGTACCTCTACTCTTCAATAAGCCACCCCAAACAACATGTCATTCCCCAAAAGGCCTTGACACGGGGAGTCAGTTGCTCTCTAAAATATTTTTCCTTTCCTGCTGGACAACCTGGAAAAATATAAACCTCCCTCCATCTGAAGTTCAAACATCACATTCACCTACTCACCTTCCCTGAAGTACCCACATATTCTTCTCATAAGAAACTAGTATAGACCCTATGACTACAAGAACCTCCTTAAAACATGATGCTGAGATTGGACTTCAATTGATTCCATCACCCAGGTACTGAGCATAGTACCCAATAGTTAGGTTTTCAATCCTTTCCCCTCTCCCTCCTTCCTTTCTTTTGGAGTCCCTAGTGTCTATTGTTGCCATCTTAATGTCCATGAGTACCCATTGTTTATCTCCCACTTATAAATGAGAACATGTGTATTTTGTATTCTGTTTCCATATTAATTCACTTAGGATAATGGCCTCCAGCTGCACCCATGTTGTTGCAAAGGACACAGTTTCATTCTTTTTTATGACTGCATAGTGTTCTGTGGTATATATGTACCATATTTTCCTTATCCAATTCACTGTTGAAGGGCACCTAGGTTGATTCCATGTCTTTGCTACTGTGAATAGTGCTACAATAAACATATGAGTGCATGTGTCTTTTTGGTAGAACAATTTATTTTTCTTTGAGTATAGACCCAGTAACAGGACTGATGATAGTTCTAAGTTCTTTGAGAAATCTCCAGAATGCTTTCCATAGTTGCTGAACTAATTTACATTCCTACCAACAGTGTGTAAGAGTTCCCTTTTTTTCCACAGCCTTGCCAGCATCTGCTGTTTTTTTCACATTTTATTACTAGCCATTCTGACTGATGTGAGATGGTATCTCACTGTGGTTTTGATTTGCATTTCTCTGATGCTTAGTGATGACGAGCATTTTTTCATACGCTTGCTGGTCGTGTGTATGTTTCCTTTTGAGAAGTGTCTGTTGTTTCTTTCGCCCATTATTAATGGGATTATTTGGATTTTGCTGATTCAATTGTTTAAGTTTCTTATTGATTCTGGATATCAGACCTTTGTCAGATGCATACTTTGAGAATATTTTTCCCATTCTGTAGATTGTCTGTTTACTCTGTTGATAGTTTCTTTTGCTGTGCAGAAGTTCTTTGGTTTAATTAGGTCTACTCGTCAATTTTTGGTTTTGTTGCAATTGCTTTTGAGGACTTAATCATGAAATCTTTCCCAAGGCTGATGTCCAAAGTGGTGTTTCCTAGATTTTCTTATAGAATTCTTATAGCTTGAGGTATTACATTTAAATCTTCAATCCATCTTGAGTTAATTTCTCTATATGGTAAATGGTAGGGGTCTAGTTTCATTCTTCTGCCTATGGCTAATCAGCTATCCAAGCACCATTTATTGAATACAGAGTCCTTACCCCCACTGCTTATTTTTGTCAACTTTTTTTGAAGATCAGGTGGCTGTAGGTGTTCAGTGTTATTTCTGGGTTTTCTATTCCATTCCATTGGTTAATGTGTCTATTTTTGTGCCAGTACTATGCTGTTTTGGTTACTGTAGCCTTATAGTGTAGTTTGTAATTGGGTGGTATGATGCCTCTAGCTTTGTTTCTTTCTTTTTGTTTTTTGGTTGTTTTGTTTTGCGTTCTGCTTAGGATTGCTGTGGCTACTTGGGCTCTTTTTTGGTTCTATATGAATTTTAAAATAGTTTTTTGTTCTAGTCCTGTGAAAAATGACCTTGGTAGTTTAATAGGAATAGCATTGAATCTGTAGATTGCTTAGGGCAGTATGGCCATTTTAACAAGATTGATTCTTCCAATCCATGAACATGGAATGTTTTTCCATTTGTTTGTGTCATCTATGATTTCTTTCAGCAGTGTTTTACAGTTATTTTTGTAGAGATCTTTCGCCTCCTTGGTCGGATGTATTCCTAGGTATTTTTTTGTGGCTACTATATATAGGATTGCATTCTTGATTTGGCTCTCAGCTTGAATGTTATTGGTGTATGGAAATGATACTAATTTCTGTACATTGATTTTGTATCCTGAAACTTTACAGAAGTCATTTATCACTTCCAAAAACCTTTTGGTAGAGCCATTAGTGTTTTCTAGGTATAAAATCATATCATGACCAGAGATAGTTTAAATGCTTCTTTTCCTATTTGGATGCCTCTTATTTCTTTCTCTTGCCTAATTGCTCTGGTAAGGACTTCCAGTACTATGTTGAGTAGGAGTGGTGAGAGCAGGCATTCTGTTCTTGTTCCAGTTCTCAAAGAGAATGCTTTGTTTTTGCTCATTCAATATGATGTTAGCTGTGGGTTTGTCACAGATAGCTCTTATTATTTTGAGGTTAGTTCCTTGGATGCCTATTTTTTTAAGAGTTTTTAGCATGAATGGATGTTGGATTTTATTGAAAACTTTTTCTGTGTCTATTGAGATGATGATATAGTTTTTGTTTCTAATACTGTTTATGAGGTGAATCCCATTAATTAATTTGCATATATTGAACCAATCTTGCATCCCAGGAATGAAGATGCCTTGATCATGGTTCATTAACTTTTTGATGTGCTGCTGGATTCAATTTGCTTGTACTTTGCTAAGGACTTTTGTGTTTATGTTTGTCAGAGATATTGGCTTGTTGTGTCTTTGCCAGATTTTGATATCAGGGATCACAGAATGGGTGGCTTCATGGAATTAGTTAAGGAAGTATAGCTTCTCCTTGATTTTTTGGAATAGTTTCAGTAGGATTGGTACCAGCTCTTCTTTCTGTGTCTGTTAGAATTTGGCTGTGAATCCACCTGGTCTGGGGCTTTTGGGGGTTGGTAGGTTTGTTTTTGTTTTTATTTTGAGACAGGGACTTACTTTGTTGCCCAGGTTGGAGTGCAGGGGCACAAACATGGCTCATTGCAGCTTCAACCTCCTAGGCTCTAGCAATCCTCCCAACTCAGCCTCCCAAGTAGCTGGGACTACAGACCCATGCCACCAGGCCTGGCTAATTTTTGTATTTTTTGCAGAGACAGGGTTTTGCCATATGGCCCAGGCTGGTCTCAAACTTCTGAGCTCAAGTTATCTGCCTGCCTCAGCCTCCCAAAGTGCTGGAGTAACAGGCATGAGCCACTGTGCCTGACCAGGTATTTTATTACTGATTTAATTTTGGAACTCAATGTTGGGCTGTTCAGGGTTTCCATTTCTTCCTGCTTCAATCTTGAGAGATTATTTCCAGGAGGAGTTTATCCATTTCCTCTAGATTTTCTAGTTGTGTGCATAAAGATGTTCATAAGCATCTCTCGTGATCTTTTGTATTTCTGTGGGATCAATTGTAATGCCACCTTTTTCATTTCAGATTTGGCTATTTGAATCTTCTCTCTTTTCTTCTTTGTTAATCTACCTAGCACTCTTAGATCTTCTTTATCCTTTCAAAGAACCCACTTTTGGTTTCATGTATTCTTTCTATGTATTTTGGTGTCTCAATTTGCTTAAGTTTCACTCTGATATTAGTGGGGTTTTTTTTCTTCTAGTAGTTTTGGTATTAGTTTGTTTTGTTTTTCTAGTTTCTCTAGGTGTGAGGTTAGGTCATTCATATGAGATCTTTCTGACTTTTTGAAATAGGCATTTAGTGCTATAAACTTTCTTCTTAATACTGCTGCATCCCACATATTTTGGTATGTTTTGTGTCTGTTTTCGTTTCAAATAATTTTTTATTTCTGCCTTAATTTTGTTATTCACCCAAAAGTAATTCAAGAGCAAATAAGTTAATTTCCCTGTAATTGTATGGTTTCAAGAAATCTTCTTGGTATTAATATATATATTTATTTATATTCTACTGTGATCTGAGAATATGGTTGGTATGATTTCAATTTTTTAAAATTTATTGGGACTTCGACTTCCTTTACGACCAAACACGTAGTCCATCTTGGAATTTATTCCATGTACAGATGAGAAGAATATATATTCTGTGTTTGATGGGTGGAGTCTTCAGTAGATGTCTATTAGATCCAATTGATCAAGTGTCACATTCAAATGCAGAATTTCTCTGTTAGTTTTCTCCCCTTGTGATCTGTCCAATGCTGCCAGTGGGGTGTTGAAGTCCCTGACTATTATTGTCTGGTTGTCTAAGTCTTTTCATAGTTCTAGTAGTAATTGTTTTATGAATCTGGGTGCTTCATTGTTGGGTGCATATATATTTGGAAGAGTTAAGCCTTTTTGTTTAACTGAACGCTTTATTATTATAGAATGCCCTTCTTTGTCCTTTTTCACTGTTGTTGGCTTAAAGACTGTTTTATGTGACACAAGAATAGCAAACCCTGCATTTTTATGTGTTCCATTTGCATGATAGGCCTGCTCTAACCCTTTACTTTGAACCTAGGTGTTGTTATATGTGAGATGGGTCTCATGAAGACAGCAGATGGGTGGGTCTCATTTTTTTTATCTAACTTGCCATGCAGTGACTATTAAGTGGGGACATGTAGACCATTTACACTAAAGGTTAATATTTTTATGTGAGGTTTCTGTCTTCCCTCATTTCCTGGATTGCTTTAGAAATTTCTTTGTGCTGATTCCCAACCTTGTCTTAGATCTCATTAAACCTACTTGCAGTCTGATATGGTTTGACACTGTGTCCCCACCCAAATCTCATCTGTAGCCCCACCCAAATCTCATCCCATAATTCCCACATGTTTTGGGAGGGACCTGGTGAGAGATGATTGAACCATGGGGGCGGGTCTTTCCCGTGAATGGGTCTCACAAAATCTGATGGTTTTAAAAACAGGAGTTTCTCTGCACAAGCTCTCTCTTTGCCTACTACCATCCACATAAGATGTGACTTGCTTCTACTTGCCTTCTGCCATGATTGTGAGCCCTCCCAACCATGTGGAACTGTAAGTCCATTAAACCTCTTTCTTTTGTAAATTGCCAAGTCTCACATATGTCTTTATCAGCAGCATAAAAATGGACTACTACAGTATATTGGTACCAGGAGTTGAGTGTTGCTGAAAAGATACCCAAAAATGTGGAAGTGATTTGGAGCTGGCTAACAGGCAGAGGTTGGAACAGTTTGGAGGGCTTGGAAAAAGACAGGAAAATGTGGGAAAGTTTGGAACTTCCCAGAGACTTGTTGAATCGCTTTGAGAAAAAATCCTGATAGCAATATGGACAATAAAGTCCAGGCTGATGTGGTCTCAAGTGGAGATGAGGAACTTTTTGGGAACTGTAGCAAAGGTGACTCTTGTTATGTTTTAGCAAAGAGACTGGTGGCATTTTGCCTCTGCCCTAGAGATTTGTGAAGCTTTGAACTTGAGAGAGATGATTTAGGGTATCTGGTGGAAGAAATTTCTAAGCAGCAAAGCATTCAAGAGGTGACTTCTGTGCTGTTAAAGGCATTCAGTTTCAAAAGGGAAACAGTATAAAAAAAATTTGAGAGGTGCATTAACATTTGGAAAATTCACAGCCTGAGAATGCAATAGAAAAGAAAATCCCATTTTTTGAGGAAATATTCAATCCAGCTGCAGAAACTAAAGAGGAACTGAATATTAATCACCAAGACAATGGGGAAAATGTCTCCAGGGCATGTCAGAGACCTTTGTGTAAGCCCCTTCCATCACAGGCCCAGAGGCCTAGGAGAAACAAGCGGTTTTATGGGCCAGGCCCAGGGTCCCCATGCTGTGTGCAGCCTAGGGACTTGGTGCCCTGTGTCCCAGCTGCTCCAGCTGTGGCTGAAAGAGGCCATTGTAGAGCTCAAGCCATGGCTTCAGAGGGTGCAACCCTCAAGCCTTGCCATCTTCCATGTGGTATTGAGCCTGTGAGTGTACAGAAGTCAAGAATTGAGGTTTGGGAACCTCCACCTACATTTCAGAAGATGTATGGAAATGTCTGGATGCCCAGGCAGAAGTTTGCTATAGGGGCAGGGTCCTCATGGAGAACCTCTGCTACGGCAGTGCAGAAGGGAAATGAGGGTTGGGAGTCCCCACACAGAGTCCCTACTGGGGCACTGCCTAGTGGAGTTGTGAGAAGAGGGCCACTGTCCTCCAGACGCCAGAATGGTAGATCTACTGACAGCTTGCACCATGTGCCCGGAAAAGCCAACACCAGCCCCTGAAAGCAGCTGAGAGGGAGGCTGTACCCTGCAAAGCCACAGGGGTGGAGCTGCCCAAGACTATAGGAACCTACCTCTTGCATCAGCATGACCTGGATGTTAGACATGGAGTCACGGAACATCATTTAGGAGCTTTAAGATTTGACTGCCCCATTGGATTTTGGACTTGCATGGGGCCTGTAGCCCCTTTGTTTTGGCCAATTTCTCCTATTTGGAATGGGTGTATTTACCCAATGCATGTACCCACATTGTATCTAGAAAGTAACTAACTTGCTTGTGATTTTACAGGCTTGTAGGTGGAAGGGACTTGCCTTGTCTCAGATGAGACTTTGGACTGTGGACTTTTCAGTTAATGCTGAAATGAGTTGAGACTTTAGGGGACTGTTGGGAAGGCATGATTGGTTTTGAAATGTGAAGATATGAGATTTGGATGGGCCAGAGGCCGATGATATGGTTTAGCCCTGTGTCCCCACCCAAATCTCACCTTTAGCTCTCATAATTTCCACGTGTTGTGGGAGGGACCCAGTGGGAGATGACTGAATCATGGGGATGAGTCTTTCCTGTGCTAGTCTCGTGATAGTGAATGGGTCTCACAAGATCTGATGGTTTTACAAATGGGAGGTTCTCTGCACAAGCTCTCTCTTTGCCTGCCATCATCCACATAAGATGTGACTTACTTCTCCTTGCCTTACGCCATGATTGTGAGGCCTCCTGAGCCATGTGGAACTATAAGTCCATTAAACTTCTTTCTTTTGTAAATTGCCCAGTCTTGGGTATGTCTCCATCAGCAGCATGAAAATGGACTAATACACCATTCATGTTTTGAATTCTTCATCTTTCATTTCTGAGTTTCTATTTTCATGAGGGACCATTGCTGGAGAGCTTGTGTTATCCTTTGGTGGTGGTACTACTTTAGATTTTTCATGTTGCCAGAATTCTTACTCTGGTTCTGTCTCATCTGGAGATGTTAACACTTTCAATTTTTGTAATTATTTTCATGCAGGTAGGATTTTTTTCCCTTTCTCTCTTTCCTTATATTATTGTTTCCTTCTTTCCATTTCCCTTTCTCCCTATGTAGTGTACCTACAGAGAATGCTGAGTAGGGTCTTTTGGGTTTGTTTCTGTACCCCTATACATGTTTGTTGGAAGGTTTTATATTGGGCTATGAAATTTGACCTACAATCAGTAGACAGTGCCATGCTGTACCACAATCTATGCAGAGGAAGAGTGGGGAGGGTCAGGCTGCTGGTCCAGACAATTGGGTGTTCCAAATGTCTGGATTTCTGCCTGCGGGTAGAGATGAAAAGGCCCCACTGCACCATTATCTATGTCCATGAAGAGTGGGGATGCCCAGGCTGCTGGTCCAGAAAATTGAATGCTCTGAATACCTCAAATTCTGCCTGGAGGTGGAGCAGAGAGGACCTTGCTGCACCACAGTCTCAGGGGAGCAGGCTGGGCTACCCAGAATGACTAATGCAGACCTATTCCAAGTCATCAAGCTGGTCCTGGCTACCAGTCTCATCATCCAGGAGAAACTGCTGCTGTAGTAACTTTTCTCCTGCCGTAGGCCCGCAACAGGGAATAGCACAATTCCAGTGCCTACTGCTAAGGCATTTTCCACAGTTCTGGCTGAATCATGGGGACGGGTCTTTCCTGTGCTGTTCTTGTGATAGTGAATGGGTCTCACGAGATCTGCCCCACTCTAGAGCAAGTGCTCCAATCTCTGGCCCAAAACTGACTACACAGCCATGCTGCCAGGTCACCAGAGAATGACTAACTTTGTATGCTCCTGGATTAAAAATGGCATCCTGCTCAGCATCCCAGGTCTGGGGAAATGCCTGCAGCTTTTCCCAGTGTTTCTCTTTCACAGCATTTCTAAGGCTCTCTCCAAGTTAGCTCCACAGCTTCGGAGAAACAAAGTGCTCTCCCTTAGCCTGGATTGCTTGGATCCCCAGGGGAAAGATGAATCACAGAGGGAAGCTCTCTGCCTCTTTTGCATACTGGAGCTTCACTCACTTTTATCAGCTGGATGCCATCACAGGGGCTCTTTGCCCATATTCTCCTCCCCAGGACCTGGTGTGTCCTTCACAATTCCAGTGGATTCCCATTTTCCTTCTTGCATTAAAGCTCACAGCATTGACCTTTATACATTATATCATTATTTCCAAATGACTGAGGCACCAAAAAGCCCCTTATCTGCCATTTTGGAAAAAAAAAAATCTTGCTGTATTTCAAATAGATAAAACAATCTTTGTAAGAAATAGAAACAGAAATTGGCAAAATTACCATCGTTGTAGGAAACATTATATATTATCTCAGCTTTTGAGAGAAGAGAGAAAAAAATAAATAAGAATATGGATTTCATTAAATAACTACAAAATTTAAATAAAAATTATATATACAGATATATATCATATACAGTAGTCCCCCCCCCCTTATCTACAGTTTTGTTTGTCATCGTTTTAGATGCCTGTGGTCAACCAAGTACAAAAACATTAAATGAAAAAATTCTGTCATGCCTGAGATATGAGTTGTCCCTTTTACTCAGCCTATCCATGCTGTAGTTGTTTCCTGTCAATTAGTTACTTAACCCTCTCAGCTATCAGATTGACTGTGGTGGTATTGAAATACTTGTGTTTAAGTTCAATAGTAACCGAATGCTCCCTCATAATGTCGACATCATTCACCTCACTTCACCTCATCATGTAGGCAGCATATTTTCTCACATCATAAAAAGAAGGGAAAGGCATAGTACAATTGGATCTTTTGTGTGTGTGAGAGAGAGACCACATTCATGTAATTTTATTACATTATATTTTATAATCATTATATTTCATTTTAATTGTTGTTAATTTCTTACTGTGTCTAATTTAAAATTTTAACTCTATTATAGGTAGATATGGTATAGGTTTAAAAAGTGTATGTAGGATTCAGTACCACCTAAAGTTTTAGGCATCCACTAGGTGTCTTAGAACAGATCCTTCACAGATAAGGAGGGCGTACTGCATATATATGTTGCATGTGTATATTGTATATACATATATATACACACACACAGTCACGTGTTGTCAGCTAATGATAGGGAAACATTCTTAGAAATGCATCATTAGGCAATTATATGCACAAACATCATAGAGTGTACTTAAACAAACCTAGATGGTATAGCCTACTACACACCTAGGCTATATGGGATAGCATGTTGCTCCTAGGCTACAAACCTAGATAGCATGTTACTGTACTGAATACAGTAGGCAATTGTAACACAATGGTAAGTATTTATACCTCTAACATGGAAAAGATACAACAAAAATTCAGTATTATGCTTTTATGGGTCTTCTGCAACATATGCAATCCATTGATCAACATGTTTTTATGCAGTACATGACTATAGAGCATTTCTTTTCTTAAATATTTTTATTTTTAATTTTTGTGGGTGCCAAGTAAGTGTATATATTTATAGAACACATGAGTTATTTTGATACAGGTATGCAATGCGAAATAATTACATCATAAAGAATGGGGTATCCATTCCCTCAGGCATTTACCCTTTTATTACAAACAATTCACTTACACTCTTTTAGTTATTTTTAAAGGTACAATTGTTATTATTGACTATAGTCACCCTACTGGCTATAGTCACTCACTTAATCTGCATTATAGACCAAATGGATCTAACAGGTTGTGTTCATTCTTTCTAACTATTTTTTTGTACTCATTAACCATTCCCACCTCTGTCCTGGCCCAGTCTCCCATTACCCTTCCCAGACTGTGGTAACCATGCTTTTACCATGTTCACGAGTTCAATTGCTTTGATTTTTCTATCCCACAAGTAAGTAAGAACATGCAATATTTGTTTTTCTGTGCCTGGCTTATTTCACTTAACATAACGATCTCCAGTTCTATACATGTTGTTGCAAATAACAGGATCTCATTCCTATGGCTGAATAGTACTGTATTGTGTATATGTATGACATTTTCTTTTTATTATATCTTAAGTTCTAGGGTACATGTGCACAATGTACAGGTTTGATACACAGATATACATGGGCCATGTGGGTTTGCTGCACCCATCAACTCGTCATTCACATTAGGTATTTCTCCTAGTGCTATCCCTCCCCCAGCCCCCAGCCCTACGACGGTCCCCAGTGTGTGATGTTCCCCGCCCTGTGTCCAAGTGATCTCATTGTTCAGTTCCCACCTATGAGTGAGAACATGCAGTGTTTGGTTTTCTGTCCTTGTGATAGCTTGCTGAGAATGATGGTTTCCAGCTTCATCCATGCCCCTGCAAAGGACATGAACTCATCCTTTTTTCTGGCTGCATAGTATTCCATTGTGTATATTTGCCACATTTTCTTACTCCAGTCGATCATTCATGGACATTTGGGTTTGTTCCAAGTCTTTGCTATTGTGAATATTGCTGCAATAAACATACGTGTGCATGTGTCTTTATAGTAGCATGATTTATAATCCTTTGGGTATATACCCAGTAATGGGATGGCTGGGTCAAATGGTATTTCTAGTTCTAGATCCTTGAGGAATCACCGTACTGTCTTCCACAATGGTTGAACTAATTTACACTCCCACCAGCAGTGTAAAAGTGTTCCTATTTCTCCACATCCTCTCCAGCATCTGTTGTTTCCTGGCTTTTTAATGATTGCCATTCTAACTGGCATGAGATGGTATCTCATTGTGGTTTTGATTTGCATTAATCTGATGACCAGTGATGATGAGCATTTTTTCTTGTGTCTGTTGGCTGCATAGATGTCTTCTTTTGAGAAGTGTCTGTTCATATCCTTTGCCCACTTTTTGATGGGGTTGTTTTTTTCTTGTAAATTTCTTTAGTTCTTTGTAGATTCTGGATATTAGCCCTTTGTCAGATGGGTAGATGGCAAAAATTTTCTCCCATTCTGTAGGTTGCCTGTTCACTCTGATGTTAGTTTCTTTTGCTGTGCAGAAGCTCTTTAGTCTAATTAGATCCCATTTGTCTATTTTGGCTTTTGTTATCATTGCTTTTGGTGTTTTAGTCATGAAGTCGTTGCCCATGCCTATGTCCTGAATGGTATTGCCTAGGTTTTCTTCTGGGGTTTTTATGGTTTTGGGTCTAACATTTAAGTCTTTAATCCATCTTGAATTAATTTTTGTATAAGGTGTAAGGAAGGCATCCAGTTTCAGCTTTCTACGTATGGCTAGCCAGTTTTCCCAGCACCATTTATTATATAGAGAATCCTTTCCCCATTTCTTGTTTTTGTCAGGTTTGTCAAAGATCAGATGGTTGTAGATGTGTGGTGTTATTTCTGAGGCCTCTGTTCTGTTCCATTGGTCTATATATCTGTTTTGTGTGTACCACATTTTCTTTATCCCTGTGTCTGTTGATGGACACTTTAGTTTGCTTCCAAATCTTGGCTATTATGAATAATGCTACAACAAATATGGGAGTGCAAATATCTCTTCAATATACTGATTTCCTTTCTTTAGGGTGTATAGCCAGCAGTGGGATTCCTGGATCATATGGTAGCTCTATTTTTAGCTATTTGAGGAACCTCCAAACTGTTCTCCAAGATGGTTGTACTAATTTACATTCCCACCAACAGTGTACAAGAGTTTCCTTTTCTCCACATGCTCTCCAGCATTTGTTATTGCCTGTCTTTTGAATATAAACCATTTTAACTGAGGTGAGATGGCTAAATATTCTGTGTGCTTACTATTCAGTAGTTTTCCACCTTCAGGTAATTACTTATTGCTCATTAATGTCCTTTTCTTTCTGATTGAAGTACTTCCTTTAGCATTTCTTATAGGACAGGTCTGGTTTTGTTCAAAATCCTTCAGCCTTTGTGTGTCTGGGAAAGTGTTTATTTTTCCTTCATGTTTGAAGAGTTTTTGTTTTGTTTTGTTTTGTTTTGTTTTGTTTTGTTTTTTGAGATGGAGTCTTGCTCTGTCGCCCAGGCTGGAGTGCAGCGGCGCGATCTCAGCTCACTGCAAGCTCCGCCTCCCGGGTTCACGCCATTCTCCTGCCTCAGCCTCCCGAGTAGCTGGGACTACAGGCACCCGCCACCACGCCCGGCTAATTTTTTGTATTTTTAGTAGAGACAGGGTTTCACTGTGTTAGCCGGGATGGCCTTGATCTCCTGACCTTGTGATCTGCCCATCTCAGCCTCCCAAAGTGCTGGGATTACAGGCGTGAGCCACTGTGCCTGGCCTGTTTGAAGAGTATTTTTACTGGATATACTGCTCTAGGATAAAACATCTTTTCATTCAGCACTTTAAATATGTCATGCCACTCTCTTTTGGCCTGTAAGGTTTCCACTGAAAAGTCTGAAGCCAGATGTATAGGAGCTCCATTTTATAATATTTGTTTCTTTTCTCTTGCTAATTTTAGTATCCTTTGGTTATTCTTGATATTTGGGAGTTTGATTTTTACATGTCTTGAAGTAGTCTTCTTTGGGTTAAATCTGCTTGGTCTTCTATAATCTTCTTGTGCTTGTATATTGATATCTTTCTCTAGGTTTGGGAAATGCTCTGTTATTATCCCTTTAAATAAAATTTCAACTCCTAGCTCCTTCTCTACCTCATTTTAAGGCCAATAACTCTTAGATTGGCCCTTTTGAGGCTATTTTCCAGATCCTGTAGATGTGCTTTATTGTTTTTCATTCTTTTTCCTTTGTCTCCTCTGTGTATTTTCAAATAGCCTGTCTTCAAGCTCACTAATTCTTTCTTCTGCTTGATCAATCATGCTATTAAAGAACTCCGATGCATTCTTCAGTATGTAAATTGCATTTTTCAAATCTAGAATTTCTTCTTGATTCTTAATTATTTCAATCTTTTTGTTAAATTTATCTTATAGAGTTCTGAATTCCTTCCCTGCGTTATCTTGATTTACTTAGAGTTTCTTCAATAAAGCTATTTTGAAATCTCTGTCTAAGAGGTCATATATCTCTGTTTCTCCAGGATTGATGCCTGGTGGCTTATTTAGTTCATTTGGTAAGGTCATGTTTTCCTAAACGCTGTTGATGCTAGTAGACGTTCTTCAGTGTCTGGATATTGAAGAGTTAGGTATTTATTTTAGTCTTCACTGTCTGGGCTTATTTTTGTATCTGTCCTTCTTGGGCTTTCTGGATATTTGAAAAGACTTGAGTGTTGTAAAAACTTGAGTGTCTAAGCTGTATCTGCTTTAGGGGGTACCCCAAGCCCAGCAATGCTATGGCTTTTGCAGACTCACAGAGGTACCCTCTTGATGGTTTTGGACAAGATCTGGGAGAATTCTCTGGATTACCAGGCAGAGACTCTTGTTCTCTTTCCTTACTCTCTCCCAGACAAATGGAGTCTCTCTCTCCCTCTATACTGAGCCACCTAAAGCTGGGGGTAGAGTGACAAAAGAACCTCTGTGGCCACCATCACTATGACTACACTGGGTCAGACCTAAAGCTGGCACAGCACTGGGTTTTTCCCAAGGCCTGCTGTAACTGTAATCACTCCCTGGCTATTGCCTATGTTTGCTCAAGGCCTTGGGGCTCTGCAGTCAGCAGGCAGCAAAGCCACCCAGCCTGTGTCCTTCCTTCAGGGTGGAGAGTTCTCCTAGGCCCCAGGTGGGTCCAGAGGTGCCATCTGAGAATCAGGGACTATGGTCAAAAACCTTACAAGTCTACCTTGTGTTCTATTTTACTGCCGCTAAGCTGGCACTTACACCACAATACGCAGTCCTTCCCACTCTTCCTTCCCCTTTTCAAAGGCAAAGAAGCCTCACTCCAGAGCCACTGTCACCACAGGCCACAAGAAGTACTGCCAGACTACCACCAATGTTCCCTTAAGGCCCAAGGGCTCTTAAGTCAGCTTGTGGTGAATGCTGCCTAGCCTGAGACTCACTCTTCAAGGCAGTGGGTTATTTTCTGGCCCAGAGAAGGTCCCGAGATGTCATCCCAGAGTCAAGTCCTGGAATCAGAGACCCCAAGAACCCACGTGGGGCTATACTCCCCTGTGGCCGTACTGGTACCTCAGGTGCAAGACAAAGTCCCCTTTATTTTTCCTCTCTGCTTTTCTCAAGCAGAAGGAGTTTTGCCCCATAGCCACCAAAGCTGGTAACATGCTGAGTCTCACCTGAAGCCAGCCAGTTCGAGGCTTGAGCAAGGCCCTAGATGTAGTACCTGGGTATTGCTGCTGGTTATTGAGGAACCAAGGGCTCTTCAGTTAGCAGGTGATGAATGTTTCCAGGTCTGGGTCCCTCACTTCAAGGCAGCGGGTTCCTTTCTGGCCCAGGGTGTGTCTAGAAATGTCATCTGGGAGCTAGGGCCCGGAAAGGGGACCTCAAAACACTGACTGGTGCACTATCCTGCTGTGGCTGAGCTGGTATCCAAGATGCAAGACAAAGTCCTCCCTACTCTTCCTTCTCTTCTCCTCTAGCAGAAGGAAAGGGTTTCTTTTGGAGCCATGCAACCTGGGCTTAGAGGAGGGATGATGCCTGAGCTGCCCCAACTGGTGTCTCAATATGTCACGTGCCCTCCCAGTCTACTGTCTCTGGGCCCAGTTGAGCACTAGGACTCACCCATGATTTGCAGTCCTTATGGCCTAGACTGCCTTTTACGTTTATTTAGAGCACAGAGAACTTTAGCCCTCGGTGGTGAGGTTTCAGGAACTCAAGTTCTGCCCTCTGGGATTGGCGATTCCCCTCTGGCTAGGGCCGGTTTAAATATTGCCTCTGTGGGAGAGTATCACCTGAGTTGGGTCTGGTTTTTCTTTCTGCTCTAACAGGACAGCACTGAGTTCAATGCCTCACAATTGTTGTGTTCTCCCTCCCCCAGTGCCCAGAGATGCTCTCCGCACTGCTGAAGGGGTGTAGGAGGGGTGGCGTTGGCAATTCAAGACTGTCTTCTCTCTCTGTAGTGCCTCTTTCAGCAATATGGAGTTAAAACCAGGTACTATGAGAGCTCACCTGATTTCTAGTTCTTATGAAGGTGTTTTTACTGTGAAGATAGTTGTTAAATTGGTATCCTTGTGGGGGGGAAATGGATGGTCTCATCTTGTTCTGTAAACCTGTAGGGCATTTTCTTTTGACAGGTCCCTAGGACATTGTATAATCAACTGTGCTGCAAAAAAAACTTCAATAAATTCCAAATATTAATCATTTATTTGCAATTAAACTAGAAATTAAAAACAAACCACCTCTCACCTAAACAAAACTGCATAGAAATGTTAAAATTTTCTTCAAAATCACTCTTGTTCAAAATGTAAATCAAGCTACAAAATATAATTTTGAGAAAACTGTACACAGAGGAAAATCCATAACTCAAACTGCTTTTATTATTGAGCATAAAAGGACACCAAAGAAGTGAATGAATTGTTTTTAGCAAGAAATTCATAGAATTAATCCTAAGGAAATACAGAAAGATACTCAAATAAAATGTAAATTGAAATCATTTAACTAGAACACAGAAAATAGTAGCATTGATTTTGTGGCTTAAATTTCCTTGTAACCTTCTTATATCTTTTCTTTTTTACTCTTCTATGTTTTCCGATGCTTTTTTTTTTTTATCATTTAAGGAATTTTTTTTCTTCTTCTGATTCTCAAAGTCCATTTTTTCCTGCATTCACCTGAAGATACTAGAGGCCCAATGTGTTCCTTGTTTCTAATGGGCAGTTCTGCCTCACTGCAGTAGCGTCTTCTGCCACCCACTGCTGTTTCTGGAAACTGCACTGTGATGCCCGGATGTGTGGGGAGTTGGGACAGGGTCCCCCACACTAGCCCTTCCTTGGGGCCTGACTGGGGTTGCTATTCTTACAACTTTGGGGTGTACTTTGAAAAGCAAGCCATCTGCCATCCCCGCCAAATATCAATTTTAAAATATAATAATAAAAGATATAATAATAAATTACCCAAGTATATTTTATGTTTTCTTTTTTTTTTTTTTTTTTATGTTTCTTCAAAGGAAACCTTACAGCAGGCTTTCTCAACTTCAGCTGTATTGACACTGTGGGCAGGATAATTCTTCGGCCTAGGGGCTGTCCTGTGCCTTGCAAGATGTTTAGCAGCAACTCTTGCCTCTGCCCACTAGATGTCAGTAGCACCTCCACAGTTCTGATAAACAAAAAGATCTCCAGACATTGCCAAATATCCTCCGTGGAGAAAAATTGTCCCCAAGGGAACCACTGCCCTATAGGAAGCATCTCTAGTAACCTTTGTGCAGGTCATGCCTTTCCATTGTCTGTTCGCAGGTTTCAAAATCAAGCTCAAATTAATCTCCTCTAGCTAGTCTTTTCCTGATCGCTCCAGCAACTCAGTTGCTCCCTTATTGGTTCTCCCACAGCTTCCTACACATTTCTCCACTAACACAGTAAGATATATTGCTGTGTTTTTCCTACTTGATTGCCTGCTCCACAAGTCTATAAACACGGGTCATCTTCTCACTAACAGTGCTTGTCACATAAGAGCTAGCAAATTAAGTCATTCATCTAAGATTGTATCTCCTCACAGGAAGCTTGAGATTGAGTAATTTAGACAAACAAGTGAAATGACAATAACTAGAACTCTCTATGTGATTCACTCAATAGTGAGTATATTCGTCCATTCTTGTGTTGCTATATAAAGAAATACCTGAGACTGGGTAATTTATAAAGAAAATAGTCTTAATTGGCTCATGGTTCTGCAGGCTTTACAGGAAGCATAGTGCTGGCATCTACTCAGCTTCTGGTGAAGCCTCAGGGAGGTTTCAATCATAGCGAAAGGCAAAGAGGGAATAGGCACGTCACATGTTGAAAGCAGGAGCAAGTGAGAGAGAGTCGGAGGAGAAGTGCCAGACACTTTTGAAATGACCAGACCTCACAAGAACTCATTATCATGAACACAGCACCAAGCCATAAAAGACCCGCCCCCATGACCCAAGCACCTTCCACCAGATCCCACCTCCAGCATTGGGGATTACAATTCAACACAAGATTTGGCAGGGACATGCATTCAAACTCCATCAGTGGGCATTTTATTCTGTGCCTGGAACTTGACTAAGTATTTATATGTAGTATCTGATTTTATTTAAATCTTCGTAATGCTCCTGGGAGGTATAGTGTAATCCTCATTTTCTGAGTGAGAAGCCAAAGCATGGAGAAGATTAGCAGCTTGCAAAGGACAGCATCATTTATACATATGGAGGATTTGAACCTTGATCTATCTAGCTTCCAAGTCAACACTTTTTAAACATATTGAAATATAACACCAATGCAGAAAAGTGCATAAAGCATAAATATAAAATTCCATGGACAGAGGTGGACCAAGATCACTGTTAGAGTGATCTGCACTGACTTCAGGCAATAAGGGGGCACGTTCTCTGCAGAAAACTTAAAAACAATTTAAAAAATAACTAAAATTGGTCTGCTTTTAATCATCACTCTGGGCCAGAATTTCTGAGCAATGTCAGTGATAGAATATTCTTCATTGAATAAAATATCCTGTGTTGATTTAAATTCTAAACAATAGTGTGCTTACTACTGAGTCTTAAGTATATATGTGTGTGAGTGTGTGTAAAATTAGCACTATTATTATGTATTCTTTAATAAACTCTGAGTTCAACATGGACACTAATCCAGAGAACTTCCAGTTACATGGTTAGGTCCCAACACAAGGGTACAAGCTACAAACATTCTTTCAAGAGTTAAATTTATAATTGTTATGGGCCGAATTCTGTGCCACCCCTACCCAAATTCATGTTGAAGCCCTAACCCCCAGCACCTCAGAATGAGACTGTATTTGAAGACAAAGCTTTTAAAAAGGAAAGTAATTGAAAATAAGGTCGCTAAGATGCCCTTAATCCAATCTGACTGGTGTCTTGATACAAGGAGATCAGGACACATGGGGAGACATCAGAGATGTGCACACACAGAGGAAATGCTATGTGAGGACTCGGCCAGAAGGCAGCCATCTGCAGGACAAGGAGAGGAGCCTCAGGAGAACCCAGCCCTGCTGACACCTTGATCCTGGACTTACTTTCAGCCCTCAGAACTGTGAGAAATTAAATTTCTATTGTTTAACCCACCCACTCTGTGGTATCTTGCTATGGCAGCCTTAGCAAACAAATACAATAATGGTTTCCAATTGCATGCTTTGGGAACAGTGAGTCTCCAACACATGATATGATATTAGAAATCAGCAATAATCACACCATGACTATAAAAATGAAGAAATAGAATTCTATTTAATTGAATTATTAAATATGACTACTTGGAGATTTTATGTATGTTAAAATGTAAAACAGTGAAACAGGGAGCCAACTGTAAAGTATAATATTATTTGAATTTTATTCTTCTGCTTTAGTTGTTTTAAAACTAAAGATGAATCCCTAAAATATGGATTATTCATTGATTATTGTGATTATTAATAAAAATAATTTCATCACCTAGAAAGAGGATTGGGAAACTCCCTTATTATCTATTCTGGTAGTCAGATTATCTATTCTAGTTGTCAAATATGCTAGGTATGCAACCGTTCAATGAGATATCACGAAACAAACACCTATATAACTGCCATCAAGTTTTAAGAAATCGAATATTGACAGTTCCTTGGGTGTCTTCTTGGTGCCCTCTCCACTGTACTACCTCTCTCTCCTTCTTAAATGTAACAAATGTCTTTATTTCTATTCTAACAGTTCATCTCTTTCTCATTTTGGAGCTGATATTAATGAAAAAGTTTAGTAAATTTTTTTATGCCTGGCTTCTTTCATGCAGTACTGTATATGCAAGATTCATACACCCTGTTGTGTATAGCAAGATGGTTCATTTGTATCACTGCATGAGATTCCATTGTATGAACATAATACAGTCTATACCATTGATGGATACTTGAGTAATCTCTAGTTTGAAACTACTGTATAATACATATAACATACAAATATGCATTAATCAACTATTTTGTTATTGGTAAGGCTTTTAATCAACAGTAGGCTATTCATAGTTACGTTTTGAGGGAGTCAAAACTTATATGTGAATTTTCAGCTGTGTTGGGGGGCTTCAGTGCCCTGAATCCCTATGTTGTTCAAAGATCAACTGTATTAAACTAATGCTGCTGTGAACATTCTTATGTGTGTATCCTGTTGCATATATACATGCACTTCTCTTAGAAGTGGAATTATTGAACTGTAAATTATGTATATCTTAAACTAGAGCAGTAAACAGTACACACCTTTCCAAAGTGTTTTGGTTGCAAAAATTTACATTCCTACCAGAAGTGTATGAGAGTTCACATAGCTCTATATCCTTACCAACAATTGGTATTGTCATTCTTTTTAGTCAGATTGACAGGTATGTGATAGTATACTGTTATGGTTTTAATTTCTATTTCCCTGATTAACTAGTGAAGATGAACACCTTTTTGTATGATAAATGGCCTTTGATTGCCCTGTTTTATGAATGGCTAATTAAATCCTTCACTTGTTTTTCAGAGTGGCCTGTATTTCTGGTATCAAAGGGAAGGGGATCGGTTAGCTCCTGCTAAAATGGTGGTGAATATAGGCCTTTCGAGTGGTAGACCATTGGATACAGGGAGCTGGAATTCAAAAACAAAATCTGGGCTGCAGTCTACAATAATTCAATCTACAATAATTGGTGGCTTTTAGAAACCCAGGAGAACATGGTGTCTTCCTTAATCCAGCTACATATTATATGGCAATATCAGCCACAGCTTTCTGGCCCAGCTTGCAGTGGGTTATGCTGGAGACTCATTTAAACATAATGACACAGTAATCTCTATAAACTCCAGATAATTATCAGCATAATTTGAAGACTTTTAATAAGCCAATGTTCCATCAAAATTTATTACTCCATCAGGGCCACCCTTGTCCTGAAGGCGGACAACCAAGTAATAGCTTTTAAAATGTCATTTTTAAACTAGAAAACCACATTAAATGTGATTTACAATGAAATTGGTGACATCAGAAGCTGAACTTTGTGCTTCCATGTAGCTTAAACCTTAAAAAACATGTTAATGGGCTACAAATATACCCTTTTATTTAGCTTTCAGTCATAGGATGCATCCCAAATCATTAACAGGTTTTTACCACGTATTAGAAAGGTTTTGCTAGATGTCAAAAAATAAAATTAAGGCTTTCCCTGGGTGTTAAAAAGTAATTCAAATTTCTCCATATTTCCAATTAAAGAAAATTTAAAAACGCAATCATTCTAAACTCACATTACTTTAAGCAATTTATTTTTTAGAATTGGAATTTTTTAATACAATGGAACAAAAGACTACTGTTATTATGGGAAGTAGTTTCTGTCTGTCTCTCTCTCTCCTCTCTCTCCCTCCTTCCCTCCCTCCCCTCTGCCCCCCTCACACACATCACACACACGCTCACCCACACACACACAAACTATACAAAATGAATGTGAGATACATAAATTCCCAATATTATCCTAAATGTAGTGACATCTTCTCTGCTTAACTATCTGTTGGAAAAATCTAAAGAAGGACTTAGTAGATCCTAAATTAAAGAATCTATTTTCATAAGCATGCTGTCAGTCTTACATAAGTACTTTATAAACTTTCAATACTTCTAATTCATTTAGGGAAACTATATAAAATAAAAGAAAGCATTGTGATATATAAAACATCACCTTTTGTTGTGGTAAAAAGGCCTGGATTCGAGGGGAGCTCCATGATTTTCAAACTGAATGACCCAAAATAACTCACGGCAACTTAGAATACCCATTTTTAAATAATAAAATAAAGACATTTTCTGCTGTGAAATGATGCTGTGAATATCAAATAAACTGTTTCTGAAAATGCTTTGTCAAGTGAAATGTTATACTAATCCAATTATTTCAGTCTCCAATATCACTATAGGCCATCCTTTTGCTAGGATTTTTTAACACCTCTTCGCACCTGAAAGAACCTTTAAGATTCAGGTTCTATACGACCACCTCTTTTTAGCTTTCCCTGGCACTTAAAGGGACAGTTAAGTTGCCACCTACTTCATGTTTCCATAGCACATAAAATATTGCTCTTGTAATTCTTGGTTCATTGCAACAGCAGTAACACAAATGTAGCAATACTGGTAGTGGTAATGGTGTCTGTTTATTAAGTCCATCTAAGGTAATTTGTCATGTACAAATTTAAGCCTCACAAACATTTGATAAGGATAGTATGTTTCTACATAAGAAAGTGAGTTTTAGAAAAATCAGCAAACATAGCCAGGGTCCACAGCTCTTAACGTCACATAACAGTTAACTACTGCTATATAACAATCCACTACATGTAGTGGCTTAAACAGCAGCCAGTCTCTTAGCTTATAATCCCGTTGGTTGAAAATTTGGACTAGACTTAGCTGGGAGGCTTTTGTGGTTTGAGGTGGTTGCATAAATCTATGGTAAACTGCAGCTTGTCTCGGCGGGACTACATCTGCTTTTGGGAGTTGTCAGGCTGTCACTGAGCCACACTGGCTTTTCTCCACATGTCTCATCCTCCAGGTGTCCAGACATGTTCACAAGGTGGGGACAGAGGACTGGAATGAGCAAGAAAACAAGGATCCAAGCAAAAGAGGGAAGATTCCTGAGACGTAGACTTAGAACCAACACCCTGTTATTTCCATCACGTTCTGTGAGCTGAAGAAAAGTCATAAGCCCAGCCCAGAGTCAGAATGGAAAAAGATTTGACAGTTATAAGACAAAAAGTGTGGACACAGAGACAACATTAATTGTGACCATCAGTGCAATTCATCAACCACAGTCTACATCACATTGTTTCCCTAATCCTTTATAATCCTGTTTTATTTGCCTATTAGATTGAAATCACTTTAGTAGCACAGACCAAGTAATAGGTTCCTAGCACTTAACTCCTTTCTTGGGCGTTTATTTAATGCTTTAACTTTGTGTGCAGCAGAAAGACTACAACAGTTTATCTAATTTACAAGGCTAATTGAAGGAGACACTTATAGATCCACTCGTTTGACTTTTACTGAGCTAGTTATGTGCTAGGCAAATCTTTTTAAAGATGACTCTTCTAAATATATGCAGAATTATAATGGTATTTATTAAAAGACTCAAAAGTATATTTCTAAGCTAAGAATTTGTACATCTGCTTAAAGGCACATCTCTGAGCTTAGAATTTGTATATCTGTTTAAAGGAAAATAACCTTGGGTATTGTTAAAATCCTCATAGCACAGCTATTTAAATTCTAAGACATTTGGGAAAGCTTTGTTTCACTACATTAGGCATCAATCATGAGAATCTATAAGAAAATATTAGTGAAAGGATTTACTATTTATGATATTTTGTTGCCATCTCCTATCCCAAATCAATTAATCTGTATTGAAAAACTCCAAATTAGCATAACATAATATCAGTCTATAAATGTACTTTATAAGAAATCACTTATAATCTCTAGAGCTAATGTTAAAATTCAAAGATTTAGTACTCCATTAGAGAATTATTGTTGTGGCAGACACTAAAATAATCTTTCATAATTAAAATGAATATTGAAAAGTATATAAATTTCAAAGGCATTTACTGATGTTATATTGTGATACAATAAGAAGCACCTATCTGGTCTTCCTTCCCAGTTCCTGACACAGGGCTCCTAAATCTCTTGTAATTTCCTGGGTGATAGGAATCTCTTTTGTTCTAATGACTTGACTCTTGGTGGGCTCCTGCATAGCTTCAGGATAGGTGCCAGTGGCCAGAAAGACCAAGTTATAATTAGAAGCTTGGAACTTTCATCCAACACCCTCATCCTCTGGGGAGGGGAGAGGAACAGCAGATTGAGTTAATAATCAATCATGCCTATTTGATGAGGCCTCCATAAAAATCCCTAGAAGATGGAGTTCAGAGAGCTTCTGTGTTGGTGAACACATCCACGTACCAGGAAGGTGGTGCATCCTAACTCCACAGTAACAGAAGCTCCTAAACTTGGGACCTTTCCAGGCTTCTCCCTGTATACCTCTTCATCTGGCAGTTCACCTATATTCTCTGTAATATCCTTTATAATAAACCAGTAAACATAACCAAGTGTTTCTCCAAGTTCTGTGAGCAAAGGATCAAACCTGAGGAGGAGGTTGTGGGGTCCTCCAATGTGTGGACAAGATGGACAGAGTTGTGGGTAACCTGAGGACTTACGATTGGTGTCTGAAGTTGGGGGAAGTCTTGTGGCACTGAGCCTTTAACCTGTGGGGTCTGCACTAAGTCCAGTTAGTGTCAGAATGGAATTGAATTATGGGACACCCAGCTGCTTTGAAGAATTGATAGATGTGGGAAAAAAATCCCACACATCTTGTTAGAGTGTACATAGAACAAAATAGTTGGTTTTTCTCATACAACTGAGAACCTACTAGGTACAGGACACAGAAGAAATGCGGGGAATGTTTTCCCAATTAAAAGATTTTCTAATCTATTGGGAGTAATAGGAGATACACAACTATAAAACTTAAGTAAATAATCAGGAACCACCACATAGACACAAGGAAATTTCTGTAAGGAATAATTCACTTTGCAGATATTTCTTCCCTAATATTTGTATCCTGGCTTTTTTATATTTAAAATGTAAATATGGCCACAGGCCTGGAAAGGGATATTGTGAGATATAAAATTAATCGAATACGTGAAAACAAATTGCATCCCCCAAATCCAACTCAAAGTACTCAAAGAGCATGCAGCAAACATTCACTCAGTCAAAATTGAAACACTTTTGTCTACAGCTTGAAAAGACAAAAGTACCAGGCTAAAAAATCTTGAGGATAATTTTTGCCTTCTACTGTGTTCACTCTTAATTTATAGTATTACAAGAAAACCCTCACTTAGTCTCCCTTTAGCCTATATCATTTTGCTTATAACATCACAGTCTTACCTTTCCTCCGAGGACTACTCCTAGGCCATTAAATGGAAAATAAGATTATTACTAACTTCAGAGTTTATGACAGACTTTGACCTCTCATTTCATTATCATTCATTAGAAGCACCTCTCTCCTCACTCATGTTCTTACTGTTCCATGTTTCTTGCTGCGTTTGGTGTGCTCTCCTGTCTGTTTCCTTGGTTTTTAACAACAGAAATGGCATTTAGTGACCTACCCTGGTGTTGACATTCAGTTACTGCCTCCATTAAAGACAGGCTAATTAGAAAGGCCCATGTGTTTGCACAGAATTAACGAAAGAGAATGCAAGAATCAAGGCAGGGCATTGACTGTCTGCAGCTCTGAAATACAAGTTCAGCCTCACATTTGGGAAGTCTAGGTTATGATTATTGACCTGGTTATACATTAATAGTACTTTTTTATCTGAAGTCAGTGACTGCATCTATTTTAATCAGTGTTGGATATGTGTGTGTGTGCCTGCACGTGTGTGTGTGTGTTCAAATTTGAGTTTCCCCTTTGAAAAGAATTTTATGTAAGTGAACATGAGAAGACTTCATTAGTGGAAAGAACCAACCAGACTAAGATCAAGGGAACATCAGATTGCTGGCTACCAGACCCCTTAATTTCATCTAATTTACCCACTTTTTAAAAAACACTAAAAACTCTTTCACTTACATTACAAGTCTTCCTTGGAGTAAAAATGCTTGACAAGGGTTTTTCCTGTCATCTTCTCTACACAATCACCACCTACCCCACTTCTACCCTGACATTTTCTGCATCAATTCATAGAGCATGCCTAGCCAATAACTCAAACATATATCAGATATTAAGGAGAGCTGCACCCTTTTAGATATCAACTCATTCAAAACATTAGAGTACATTCCCCATGTCCTGCAAATTTCTTAACTTATATTGTTTATGCTATCTGTGTGCTGATTCTCTCCATCTTCTTGGCCATCCGCTTGCTAAGGGCCACATAATAAAATGCCACATACAAAAGAGAGAATTAATTAACATGTGAAAGATAAAAATGTAGAGATTAAATTAGTCTAAAGTATATACTTTTTTGAAAGGGGAAAGGTAAACTGAATTAGGCCAGTGGTTTTAAAAGTTTAATGTTTGTAAGAATCACCCAAAGAACTTGTTAAAATCCATATTCTGATTCAATAGGTATGGAGCAGGTCCTGGGATTTTGCAGCTTTAGCAAGCTCCCAGGTGATACTGAGGTTGTGCTACACATATTTGGAGCAGCAAGGTACTAGAAGCTCTGGTGCCTTGGTCAAACAAATCAACATATTAAAGTCTACTTATTCCTCTATTCTCCATGATTTTATTGTAAGGAGTCATTATACTTCCAAATGAGATACAAGAATGTTGCAATCACTCCCCAAACCCTAGGGTGAGATTCCTGAAATTTCAAGTCTTTATAAATGATAGGAGAGCATAAGGACCTAAATTAACATAGGGTGCAGAGACAAAGATTAAAATTCAATGTATGAAAATATTTATCTTTTTAATTTTATTACATACATAAAAAAGGGGGACAGCAGAGTAAATAGAAAAGAAATTATATCCACATATCTTAATTAGTAATAATGACTTGCATAATTTTAGGGTCACTTATCTTTAGCACATGATGACTTCCTGTGTTGTTGATAATGTTTTATAATTGATGTGATGGTGATGGTGTTACTAAGGCAGGAAGGCAGGGAGGTAGAACTTCATTAGGAAGAAAAGTCCTTGGAACTCTCTTTTCCCTCTAACACATGGATCTACAAGCTCTTTGGGAGCCCAGGGCTTCTTCGCTCTTCTGCATGGTAGGCTAAGTGATTTTTTCTGAAGTTCCCTTTGCACCTCTTTATAGATTGTGTCAAATTTCAGTTTGGGTGGACTTGCTAAGGCTTTACTTATGCATTTTCATAAAGTTCTTTGAATACCAGGTCATTCTGAATTGATTCTCATGGAAGGCTTTTCTTCCTCACGGTGTGTTCTGTGTCAGGCAGCCGGATAAACTGGCCAAAAGGAGTTCTACGAGATGATTCAGCTATGCGGGCATCTCATGCCCACACACTCTGTACCATAAGCCTCTCGACTGCCCAGTTCTGGGAAGTAGGCAATATGTGCATTTAAAGTTCCCATGAATAAGGAGAATCATTTTCTGCTTTTAGCTGGCTGTTATTTCTTCAAATTTTTCCTGCCCCATTGTCTATCCTCTTCTTTCCTTCCTGAACCAAACATACCTGTATGTTAGAACTGTTGATACTGGCCCCGAAGTCCCCATGTCTTTGTCATGTTTGTTTGGTCATTTTGGTTTGGTCATTTTGGTTCTCTGTTCTTCAGAGTAGATCATTTTAAATAATCCGTCTTTATATTTACAGACTCATTCTTCTGTCACCTCCATTCTACTGTTAAGCCCACCCAATGAACTGTTTAATTCAGGTATTACATTTCTCAGTTTTAGAAATCACGTCTTGTTCTTTTCACATAGTTTGTACTTTCTTTGACCAATGTATGTTTCTTTTACATCACTGAGCGTAGCTTAGCAGCCACTTTAAAATCCCTTTCTGCTAACTCCATCTGGGTCATCTCACAGTTGGAACCTCTTGCATTTTTTTTTTTCTGTCTCGAGAATGTTTTACATTTTACTGCTTCTTTGCTATTATGGGTCATATCTTAGACACTGAGAATTTTATGTTGTAGAGACTCTGGATCCTTGTAAATTACTCAAAAAATGATGTTTTTTTTGTTTGTTCATTTTAGCAGGCAATTAATTTGTATAGACCCAAACTGCAAATATCTCCTTAATAGCAGCTCAAATCTCATTTCAGTTCTTTTATCCTTAATTGAGCTTCTTGCAATCTGGCCTAGCAACCATGGTTCAGGAGTCAGCCAGAGATTTTGGCAGAGTAAATGTGGAGTGTGGGCTCTCTCTCTCTCTTTCTCTCTCTCTCTGTATATGTGTGTGTCTGTGTGTGTGTGTGTGCATGTGTATCCCTATCTCTATTTCCACCTCTACCTTTCCCTTTCCTTCACTTTTCAGCTGCTGCATTGCTCTCACTTCTGCCCTCTGGAAAGACTATTGAAGTTTTAGCTACCCCGTGATGTACCAACTGTGGACAGCCTTTGGGTTAAAAGCTGTAAAAATGGGGAAATCATCATGTAGCATTCTCTCCTTTCAAGTATTGACTCCCCTCCAGAACCTTACTGTTTTTATGCATTTTCAAGTACCTCCATGGAGTTGTTGGTTATTTAATATTATTCCTTTATGTTTTCGTACTTTGTCCAGATAATAGGAGAGTTGGTCTTTAGGAGCTTACTCAGCTGTGTCAGGAGTGGAGCTTCAATAGATTATCTTTTTACATCTATTTGTTAGACAAGTCTATCCTTAATAATACAGGAATTTAGACCAGAGTTGGGTGTTTCCCAAGTAACATATAAATTGTTTATCATTGGCTTAGTGGTTGGGCACATATTGCAAGGTGAAAATCCAGTAACCCCTGGTACACTATTGCATAAAGAGAAAGACAAGCAGCTCAAGTGCCAAGCCTGTTGATTTAAACTCTAGAGGAAGTAGTTGGTAAAAGTAACAATGTCAGTACATCAAGGTTCCTATCCACTTTAGGAACGCTCTTGCAAGAAAGAGATAAACTTAGGCAAAGTCTGTCCCAGACTGGATCAGCAATAAAATGCAATTTAGAAATGGGATGATCATATAGCTTATCATCCAAATCAGTTTATATTTGTGAGAGAAAGGAAGTACTATCAATAATCATTCAGGACAACAGGCACAAGCAGGCAATATCTAGTACATGCTGGTGTGTATGTTTACTAACTCTGAAGACAGAAACTTAGAAGGAGATAAAATTGTAGCACCAATCCCTTTCCTAACATTTCTTGTGATATTCTTCTGTCAGAAATGAGAGACAGTCCTGTGATAAAGATCAGATTAAGAAGACAGCCTTCTGGGCGGTCGTGGTCCCTCACGCCTGTAATCCCAGCACTTTGGGAGGCTGAGGCAGGCGATTCACTTGAGGCCAGGAGTTCAAGACCAGCCTGGGCAACATGGTGAAATTCCATCTCTACTAAAATTACAAAAGTTAGCCAGGTGTGGTGGTGCATGCCTGTAATCCTAGCTACTTGGGAGGCTGAGGCATGAAAATTGCCTGAACCCAGGAGGTGGAGATTTCAGGGAGACAAAATCACAACACTACATTCCAGCCTGGGTGACAGAGCAAGACTCCGTCTCAAAAAAGAAAACAAAAAAAAGAAGACAGCCTTCTGGCTCAACCTATTTCATGTATCTTCATCATGAAATTTAGAAAAGAATAGGCAATTCATGGAAGCCAATAATTTTATTTTAAATGAGTCTTTAGGCCTAAGAATTATGTCCAGATGAGAGATCTTCAGCTCTGATTATTTACATGTACAACAGACTGTAAATAAATAGGCCAGAAATCAGCTAAAGTTTGAGAAATAATGCTGTCAAAGAGTCATAAGTCTGGTCTAACAAAAACTATTGTTTTCTACTAATCCAAAATTTGAGTCCCCAAACCTACACAAGGTTATGATTTCATGATATTTATAATTTAGTTTCATTATTTGTTTGGCAATTTCACGTTCAGGATTTTGATCAAACATAATTATAATTGTGGGCTACATCCAATTACAGTTCACCTTTGAACAATGTAGGGGTGAAGAGTGTGAACCCCCTGCACAGTCAAAAATCCATATATAACTTTTCACTACCCAAAATCTTAACTACTAACAGCCTGCTGTTGACCAAAGCCTTACCAATAATATAAACTGTCAATTTACAGATATTTTGTATATGTATTATATACTGTATTCTTACAATAAAGTAAGCTAGAAAAAAATGTTATTAAGAAAGTCATAAGAGAGAATATATATATTATTCATTACAGAGAAGTGAATCATTATAAAGGCCTTCATCCTCATCATCTTCACTTTGAGTAGGCTGAGGAGAAGGAAAAAAAGGAAGAGTTGGCCTTGCTGTCTCAGGAATGACAGAGGCTACAGGAAATCCACCTAGAAGAAGACTCATGGTTCAAACCCATGTTGTTCATAGCAAAGACAACTTAAATGCCCATTAACAGTAGACTGGATAAAGAAAATGTGGTACATCTACACCATAGAATACTATGCAGCTATAAAAAAAATGAGATCCTATCCTTTGCAGCAATATGGATGGAGCTGGAGACCATTATCTTTAGCAAACTAATGCAGGAACAGAAAATCAAATACCACATGTTCTCCTTTATAAGTAGGAGCTAAATAACAAGAACACATGCACACAAAGAGGGGATCAACAGACACTGGGCATAATCAAGGGTAGAAGGTGGGCAGGGGGAGAAGATCAGAAAAAAATACCTATCACACACTATGCTTAGTACCTGAGTGGTGAAATAATCTGTATACCAAACCGTTGTGACACAAGCTGACCTATATAACAAACCAAAATGTACCTCAGAACCTAAAAGTCAAAAGAAAAAAAAAAACAATAAAAGCCCATCTAGATATAAAAAATAAATATAAAAAAAACAGAGAAATACCAAGCCCCACTCTAAAGTGTGTGCATCTTGCACTGCTTCTGTAAACATTTACTGAGCACCTAATATATTTCAGGAACTATATCAAATGTGGAGATGCAGAGAGTAATAAAATGCAGTCCATACCCTTGCCAAACAAACAAAAAAAATGTTGCTCTAGGGTCAACTATAGTTAGAATGGGGGTTTTCTTTTTTTTTAATTTCTTTTTTTTCTTTTTTTTAATTATACTTTAAGTTCTAGGGTACATGTACACAACGTACAGGTTTGTTACATATGTATACATGTACCATGTTGGTGTGTTGCACCCATTAACTCGTCATTTACATTAGGTGTATCTCCTAATGCTATCCCTCCCCCAACCCCCACCACACAACAGGCCCCGGTGTGTGATGTTCCCCATTCTGTGTCCAAGTGTTCTCATTGTTCAATTCCCACCTATGAATTGAACTGAGAATATGCAGTGTTTGGTTTTCTGTCCTTGGTGATAGTTTGCTGAGAATGATGGTTTCCAGCTTCATCCATGTCCCTACAGAGGACATGAACTAATCCTTTCTTATGGCTGCATAGTATTCCATGGTGTATATGTGCCACATTTTCTTAATCCAGTCTATCATTGATGGGCATTTGGGTTGGTTCCAAGACTTTGCTATTGTGAATAGAGCCTCAATAAACATACATGTGCATGTGTCTTTATAGCAGCATGATTTATAATCCTTTGGGTATATACCCAGTAATGGGATCGCTGGGTCAAATGGTATTTCTAGTTCTAGATCCTTGAGGAATCACCACACTGTCTTCCACAATGGTTGAACTAGTTTACGGTCCCACCAACAGTGTAAAAGTGTTCCTATTTCTCCACATCCTCTCCAGCACCTGTTGTTTCCTGACTTTTTAATGATCACCATTCTAACTGGTGTGAGATGGTATCTCATTGTGGTTTTGATTTGCATTTCTCTGATGGCCAGTGATGATGAGCATTTTTTCATGTGTCTTTTGGCTGCATAAATGTCTTCTTTTGAGAAGTGTCTGTTTATATCCTTTGCCCACTTTTTGATGGGGTTGTTTGGTTTTTCTCTTGTAAATTTGTTTAAGTTCTTTGTAGATTCTGGATATTAGCCCTTTGTCAGATGGGTAGATTGCAAAAATTTTCTCCCATTCTGTAGGCTGCCTGTTCACTCTGATGGTGGTTTCTTTTGCTGTGCAGAAGCTCTTTAGTTTAATTAGATCAGAATGGGGGTTTTCTTTTATGGCAAAAGATAAGACTTCTGAACAATTTTATTCTGTTAGTCATAGATATTTGCTTCTTTCCTTAAAGTTCTATTTCTTTTTTCAATTGCTTGCACTTTTAAGGGTAATCAGGACAATGCCATAATTAATTTACATTAAAATGTATGAGTAGTTTTCTTTACTGCCTGATCTATGACACAATTTTTTTCTTTGATTGTAATGCATACAAGCTTTCCAATAAAGAGTTAAAACATTTAACATTTTCCTTATCAATACAATATAATCAACACTTCCTGAAATCCAGAAAAGAGGCATACGGTCTCTTTACCACATTAATCTCCCTATAGCTTGGAATATTAATGAAATCTTTTGGTAAGTTTGGAAGAGTACCCAAGAGATTGATCACATTCCAATAGCTGTCTGAACAGGTTTCCCTATGTTGTGAGTCTGACAAATAAGGCACAAGGCATATTAGTGGACAGTCCTAATAAATTTACATAAAATTTGAGGCAAACCAATGTATTCCATTTTGAAGGATCATCCTTCCTTCATTCACCCAAGATGGAGAACTTGTGAATAAAAATAGGAAGAAGAGCTACCACTCTTTTAACCAGTGCTCATCAAAGTGCTTGGACATAAAGAATTTCCACAATGTTTGTTCTTATATTTGATATTGATCTTGTATATTTTCCTGTCAGGAAAGCAAAGCATAGACAGGTACAGCATACACACACACACACACACACACACACACACACACACACGCTTTTTAAAATTAAAAAACAAACTATGTTTCAAATAAGAAAACAAAAAGCAAAAGACCACTGCTTGAGCTACAGAATCAGCCAATGTATCCACTTCAGAGAAGCTAGTATTAATTTCTTTTTACTTTTGGCCCAAATTCCTTTTAGTTATGTTGTTATTATATAGGAACAGAAGACACTTCCTATTAATATAGGAATGCAGCATTATTAATCTGTAAAACAGAAGAAAACACTTTAATCTTTCCAATGGGAGACATATTAGGGACCATAAAACATAGAACACGTAATAATTTAGACAGAATTTTATACAAGTAACTGACAATAGCAATGAAAGGCAAAACAGTAACAAGTAGAAGTTTTGAGTTTTTCTTTTCCAAATAACTCTCATATAATTCTTTAGTTTCATGGGCTCTAGAACAACTGTTTATCTTTTAATATAAGTGCATTAGCATTGAGATGAATTTTAAAGCCTTTAAATATAGATATTTATAAAAGCCAAACGTATAAAAGATAACTGAGAATGTCAATAAAGCTAGCCATAATTAGTATCAAGGAATGTCTCCAAGACTTTTTAACTTAACCTCAAATTTTTGCCAGTACATACTTTTACAATAATGTCATGGTTTTAAGAACTAACTCACAAAAAAATGTAATTGTTGGATAAAGGGCACAAAGTTTCAGTTTTACAGGATTAATAAGTTCTGGAAATTTAATGAATAGCATGGTGACTATAATTAAAATTCTCTATTGCATACTTAAAATTTACTAAGACAGTAGATCTTAACTGTTCTCACCACAGAGACAAAATGGCAACCAGGTAAAGTAATAAATATGTTACTTAGCTTGATTGTAGTGATTATTTTACAATGTATATGTATATCAAAACATTACATTTTACCCCTTAAAATTATACAAATTTTTGTCAATTATACTTCAATAAAGCTGGAAGAAAAAAAAATTTAATGCATGTTATTCACATATATTAGGCCTTAATTTCATGTGTAAATTGCCTTTAAATAGATGTTATGGCCTTTATAAGTAATTTTCTGTCAGTTTTAGCCCATGATCTAAGTTTCCCACCAACCCTGAGCTCCAGACTTCTGTATCCTACTGCATACTCTGCATCTCTATCTGGATGTCTAGTGGGCATCTCAAATTAAATTTGCCAAAAGAAAACTCTTGAATATCCTCACCCTAACCTGAGATCTGTTCCTTTCAGTGTCCCCTGCCATGGCAGGGTTCAGCTAATCTTCTTTCAACGTATACGGTGCCCTATACAGCTCCCATTTTAAGCCAAGCCACTACCGTCCCTCGACTGAACCAGTGCCAGTTACTTCATAACTGCACTGCTGTGTTCATGTTTACATCTCCACAGGCAACTTTCCTTAAACAATCAAAGCAAACATTTTACAATTCTGCCATGGTCAAAAAAAAAATCTAATCCCTCTTTATTGCCCACAAGATACCAAATCCTGTGGTTCCTGCCTCAGAGGTCCATCTGAGCCTGTTTGCTGTGTCCACTCTGTGACCACAGATGCAGGCCATTCAAAATTTGGTTTGGATGTTGAGACTGATGGCACCACACACAGAGCAAGAAGGTATGAGAAGATTTGTTACTTACATAATGAAGGCTTCTGGTGAGAGCAGGACAGGTCTCCCAGTCTGATCCAAAAATGGCTTGAGGGAACAAACAAAGAAAACTAGTGGGGTTTTATGGTGGTTAGGGTATGGGCCAGGCTGAGGGTTCCATGTGTAATCAGGGGCTTGACTGGTTTGAAACTTCCACTCAAGGACATTGTATATAGTGTTATCTCTGCCTGGAATATTTCCCCATGTGAGAATGAACACTGTAGGTTTTTCCAGACATATGAAGTGGTGGAAGGAGGCAAGGGAGTGGAAGGTATTTCCCAGGGTGTATTGTAATAATAAGCCATAGAATCCAGGTGAACAAGCAGCAGCAAAATAAAGCCAGAGGATTTTAACAAGTTGTGAGAAAGTTGTGGAGTCATTGCTTGCAGGTTTCCATGAGGCTAAAGTGAAGAGTATTTAAGTAAATTAGATTAAAAAATAGAAATGTAAACCCCAGGATGAGGCTACTAAAAAAAAAAAAACCAGCTAAAATGCAATGAAAAATTTTGATGGAGTTGAGGAAGCCAAGGTTCAAAGAAACTTAATCTAAATTTTTAGGTATTTCATCTTTTCAGACCATGTAGCCACTGACAATCAAGGTACAAGTTGGGATAGAGAGAACTATTGTAAGCAAAACAAAGTTTTCAGTTAATGAGGAAGGTTGATAAGAATGTTGGTCATCAAATAGAGAAGAAAGAGAATTCTGTAGACAGATGTATGTGCTTCAATCTAGATGCAATTGTCACCAGAGACTCTAAATTGTTTCAGAAAATGTTGATGGACCCAATTAGAATGGAGCTTTTAAAAATCAGCACATTAGTGGATATATTTCTAGAATACTGTACACATATTTAAAACTAGACTTTAGAGGTTATAATATACTATCATCTCATTGCAAGGTACTAAAAATTATTGCCAGGACTCAGGTTCTCTGAGAAGAGGAGAAAATGAGAATCAATTTATAATAAAGGGACTGAGGCCCAAAGATTAAGAGACCTGGAAAAGGTCACTCAGATAGCAAAGGCTGAAAGGGGAAAAATATCACCTCCTAGCTCTAAGTTTCCATGATAGTGCTGGATTTCTCCCCACCCCCATCCTCATCTTCACAACTATCAGCTTGTTATAGCCAGCCAGTTTTGAGTACGAGTCCGAAAGAGATGAGCAAAAATCACAGTTCTACCTGTTTTTAAGTGTTTTCAGTTGTAAAAATACCATCCTACAAAAAAGGTATATTCTTTAATCATAATAACAAAATATTTTATTTGCCCTTAGCTGAACTTACTAGAACATGTCAATACCTTTGAAACTCAATATCTATCTCTCCCCAGCTGCATCCTCTACCCTCTTCCACCAAGGTAGATACTTCCCAAATTTCTGCTAACTAATCAGTTTTGTATTTATATAGTTTTATCATATGTGAAAGTATCCTAAATATTACATTGTTTATTTTTCCTTATTTAAATCTTCTCATAAATAAAACCATTCTATGCATCTCATCTAGTTGAGAGTATTTTTTTTTACTTGATACGATGTTTTGAGATTCATCCATATTGGTTCATGTCACTTTGGTTCATTCATTTTCACTGTTGTAAAAAAATATAATTGAGGCCGGGCGCGGTGGCTCACGCCTGTAATCCCAGCACTTTGGGAGGCCGAGGCGGGCGGATCACGAGGTCAGGAGATCGAGACCATCCTGGCTAACACGGTGAAACCCCGTCTCTACTAAAAATACAAAAAATTAGCCGGGCGTGGTGGCGGGCGCCTGTAGTCCCAGCTACTCGGGAGGCTGAGGCAGGTGAATGGCGTGAACCCAGGAGGCGGAGCTTGCAGTGAGCCGAGATCGCGCCACTGCACTCCAGCCTGGGCGACAGAGTGAGACTCCGTCTCAAAAAAAAAAAAAAAAAAAAAAAAAATATATATATATATATATATAATTGAATAAGCAGAACATAATTTTATATGCATATCTATATATTTTTACTGCTGATGACCACATTTGTGTTGTACTTTGTTTTTATTATTGCCAAGACTGTTGATAGAGATATGTGTGGACAGACAGGTGGATACAAATATAGATATAGATATACAGATGTAGCCTGGGGCAGAAGTGCAATATTTTTCTGTTATGAAAATCCTGAGTCATAGATTATCTGCCACTAAGATGTCTGTATTGAGTTGTATAAATTTTTTAACTTTAACGAAACAATTTCTTGCAGAAAAACAGTACCTTTAAAGTTCATCATTAAAAAATGGCATATTTGTAACTGGCATATAGCATAGTACCTGGTGGTTAGAGGCCCACAATAAATGTTCCACACCCAAAGCACATTTTCTTTTACTAATATTTGAATTTCTTATACCTAAACAAATTATTGCATAAAGCAGATATTCAGTAAAACTACTGAATTGAATAAAATCATGAATCATATAGCAACAAACATCTCATCTTAGACACTATTTCTCTTCTAACCTACGCAGATTATGAACCAGCCTATGTCAAACCACAGGTTGAACTTCTCAATGAAAGATTGCAATTATGGACTACTGAGCTCCAGTGGGAGAAATAAAAAGGCTTGCCATCATCCAAACATCATTTCCCTCAGTTGGCTTCTCAAAAGATAACCTTCAATTCTCTCAGGAAAGAAACTGTCCTAAAAGTTCTGCAATAGAACTGAGAATTTACACATGGGTTTGTTAATGCTTTCGCTCTCAGCTCTCGATATCAGAATTCCAAATCCCAGGTTATCTCTCTAGACATATAAATATGACTTTTCTATTCATTAGGGAAGCAAAGGAGGGAAAAGATGAACTCTAAATTGACTCTGTTTAATGTGCTGTCATCTAAAAACTGTGAGTGAAGAGTAAACTCCCACAAGTCAGCATCGAATGAATGGGGAGCAGTAGCTGGTAAAAGATTACAAGCAATTTTCACGAGATTTATAGTAAGCTAGTGAACTACAACATGACAGAGGCTGCAAGTGAAATTAAGTAAGGCTGTACATCAAGGAAGATTTTGTTTTCAGCAGCTATGAACTTTAAGATGATTAACAAGACACAAAGTGTAGGTTCTAGGGGATCTTTTGAATACTCTAGGGAAGACAGAGTTACGAACAAGCAGAAGGTGGAACAGTTAAAACTGGAGGGGGTGAGGGTACACAAAGTTAAGTGGCAATGTGCATTACAGAAATTGATTTAATTATAAAACCAATGGGCATGACTTGAGCGAGTTCTTTGTCTGATTCCCAAGATTGCGCTCATATCATTTCATCTTTCTGCCCAGGCTGCAGAATGAAGCCTAACTCAAGAGCAGGACTCAGTCTCCTGCTTTTCCACATCACTCCCCACACCTTGCCTGGCCCACCGTGCCTACATAGTGCCCTGTCTTGCACAAATGAACCCTGTCATCCCCCACTGGACCCCAGCAGTATGTATCACATATAAGCATTAGCAACTTCCTGGGTGCCAATTCCCTGGCTGTTATTCAAGCCATATCTCTGTGTTTGGTCTCTTTCCCAGCACACTCCATTCTCCTGAAATAAGATTTCCTAATACTCAACATGAACTGTTTTCAGATGGTCAGCTTCACTTGCCAACAAGGCATCCTCCAAGCACTTCCACTGGATCTAGCCCCCTTTTTCTCACCCAACTCACATGAAGGGGCTCGAGCTTTACACTTTAGCTCTTCCCCCTCTCCTTCATCCCACTGCAGTTTACTGAGCAATCTAGATATGTAGCAGCATGCTATTTCTGGCCAAGGCCTTGAATCAGATTGCCTGTTTACCCACCACTGCAAGTATAAAAATAGTCTTCAGATACCCTGCTTGTATTAGACCATGGCTTTCTGTATTTTATTCAGGCAACTAAATCTATAATCCATATACAGAAAGACTTGCCAATCAATAGAGCAGTCAAGCCAAACAAACTGGGTGACTGCTAGTGAGAAAAAATATTCTACATTTCCAAACCAAAGGAAATCATCCTTACAGCATTCCAAGACAAGTTCTCTAAGTTCACATGGAGCCGAGCCTAGCCCTGTGCTCCTTCTCTTCTGAGTTTTAAAGTACTCACATCTACCCTCTGAAGTCCCAACTACCTCCAAGAACCATACCCTGAAACAGGAACAAATAACTCATTCCTAGTTCCCTGAACCTCTTCTTTGTTCAGGGCCGATGCTCCCAGGGCTAGTCACCCTGACCTACTGGGGCTGAGGTGCAGCTATTCTTTCAGACCTCAAATGGGGAGGAAATAAACTGTTCAGATCTTGCCTTAATATTGCTTGCTTTAAAAGATTCCAGAAGGGTGTTAGATGGGATTTACCCAGTCAGCAATGATCTCGAAACACCTCTACCTGTGCCTGCCTCTCCATCACCAGAGACACAGTCTTTTATTCCTTTGGGCCTCTGAATCTCAGTCTATTCCACTGTTCAACATTTCTAAATATATGATCTCTGTACCATCTCATTCAGAATCAGCTGACAAATTGTTAGATTGCAGATTCCCAGGTTCTACTCCCACAGACTGATTCAGACACTCTGGAGCTGGACTTCACATATCTGCATTGTTAAAAGGATCTTCAGGGAATTCTAACACACTCTAACTGTTTGGAGCCACTTTCCAGATCCATCAGGAGAAACCACAGCCAAGTACTGTGCAGCAGAGGTCTGACACTGAATGGTACTACCAGTCAGAAGGCTGGGGAACAATCATACATGCTTTAGACCTCTAAGAGCCTAGCAGTAAACAATGTCTCTTCCAAAGAGGCTTGAGAAACTCCCTAAAATATAACACTGGGGGCCTGTCCGGACTGCAATGGGGACATGTGCTAGAGTGCCCAGGTAGATCCAGACCTTACCACAGATGTCTATGTAGGGAAGGAAGAGCCTGAGCAGGGACTCACAGGCAGTCAGTGCTCCCCTGAGAGAACAAGATGCTGCCTTTATGGAGTCACCCTGTGCCCTTGGAAGAGCATGTGCATCCCTTCAAAGGACCAGCCTTGACTTCCAAATGCATACCACCGGACATGTTCAGCCAGGCGAATAAACTGTGCTGAGTGTAAAGTGGCTTCCCTAAAGCTTGATTCATGTTTTGATTCAGAAACTCAAAGGGATAAGGGAGAAAATGGCGGATATGAGGCAGGACTAACTTGCAGCTAACTCCACTCGGACAGACAGAGCAGCATGTGGAGACCCACATCTTAAACTTTTGCTCCAAGAGCTATCACAGGAACATACCAGGAAAGCTGAGAGAATCCACAGACCCTTTGCAGGAGGTGGACTGCTGCTGCAGGCTCCACAGGACAGCTTAGGAACTGTGAGTCAGCTGGGGCAAGTTCTCAGTCCTGCTCACCGGCTGCCTGGAAAAAAACTGAGTGCTGTTGGGAGGCACGGTGGGAGTGAGACCAGCCTTTAGGGCTGTCGGCTGCATGGGAGCTGGGCGAGACCTGTGGCTGCCAACTTTCCCCCACTTCCCTAGTGACCCGTGTGACAGAGCAGAGGCATAATCCTCCAGGGAACATAACTCCATTGGCCTGGGAACCACGCCACCATCTCACACAACAGCTGCCGCAAGCAAGCCCCACCCAAAGAGAGTCTGAGCTCAGACATGCCTAACCCTGCCCACTTAATGGCCTTTCTCTACCCACCCTGGTAGCTGAAGACAAAGGACATAATCTCTTGGAAGCTCTATGGCTCCACCCACCACTTGCACCTCCCTATACTACCAGAGCTGATGTGATCTTGAAAGTGCCACCTCCTGGGTGAAGGCCAACCAATACAAAACCAGTGCACTTAACAAAAATACAACCAAGGACCCTCATAGAGTCTAATTCACTCCCCTGCTACTTTCTCCAGAGCAGGTGCTGCTATCCACAGCTGAGAGACCTGAAGATGGATCACATCACAGGGCTCTTTGCAAACACTGTCTAATACTATTCCAGAGCCTAGTCGCTCCACTGGGTGGCTAGATCCAGAAGAGAAATAACAGTCACTGCAGTTCTACTCTGAGAAAGCCCCATCCCTAGAGGAAAGGGGAGCACACCACATAAAGAAAACACCCTGTGGGACAAAAGAATCTGAACAGAAGCCTTGAGCCCCAGATCTCCCCTCTGACATAGTCTACCCAAATGAGAAGGAACCAAAAAAACAATTCCAGTAATATGACAAAACAAGGCTCTTTAACACCCCCAAAAGATCACACTAGATAACCAGCAATGGATCCAAACCAAGACAACATCTCTGAATTGCCAAAAAAAGAAGTTAGAAAGTCAACTATTAAGCCCATCAAGGAGACATCAGAGAAAGGTGTCCACCAGAGAAGTCCAACTTAAAGAAATCAAAAAAATGATACAGAATATGCATGGAAAAATCTCAGTGAAATAGTTAGCATAAATAAAAAACAATTACAACTTCTGGAAATGAAGGACACACTTAGAGAATTGTAAAATGCGCTGGAAGCTCTCAGCAGTAGAATCAAACAAGTAGAACAAAGAATTTCAGAGCCTCCAAGAAGTTTGGGAACAAAACCTCCAAGAAGTTTGGGATTATGTTAAACTACCAAACCTAAGAATAATATCTTCATCCAAGGAAGAAGATAAATCTAAAAGTTTGAAAAATATATTTGAGGGAACAATTGAGGGAAACTTCCCTGGCCTTGCTAGAGATCTAAACATCCAAATACAAGAAGTTCAAAGAACACCTGGGAAATTAATCACAAAATTAATTCATATATAATGTCCCTCTTTGTCTTTTAAAACTGCTCTTGCTTTAAAGTTTGTTTCATCTGATATAAAAATAGCTATTCCTGCTTACTTACATCACATAGTCATAAGGTTATCTAAAGTCAAGATGCAGAAAAGAATCTTAAAAGCTGTGAGGCAAAAGGATCAGGTAACCTATAAAGGAAAATCTATTAGAGTAACAGCAGATTTCTCAGTGGAAACCCTATAAGTTAGAAGGGATTGGGATCCTATCTTTAGCCTCTTTAAACAAAAGAATTATCAGCCAAGAATTTTGTATCCAGCAAAACTAAGCTTTATAAAGGAAGAAAAGATAGTCTTTCCCATATAAACAAATGCTAAACAAATTTGCCACTACCAAACCAGCACTACAAGAACTGCTAAAAGGGACACTAGATCTTGAAACAAATCCTTGAAATACACCAAAATAGAATCTCCTTAAAGCAACAATCTCACAGGAACTATAAAACAACAAAACAATGAAAAACACCAAGGTATTCAGGCAACAAATAGCATGAAGAATAGGCAAGTACCTCACATCTCAATACTAACATTGAATGTAAATGGCCTTAATGCTCCACTTAAAAGATACAGAATGGAAGAATGAATAATTCACCAACCAAGTATCTGCTGTCTTCAAGAGACTCACCTAACACATAAGGACTCATATAAACTTAAGGTAAAGGGGTGGAAAAAGATATTCCATGCAAATGGACACCAAAAGTAAGCAGGAATAGCTATTTTTATATCAGATGAAACAAACTTTAAAGCAAGAGCAGTTTTAAAAGACAAAGAGGGACATTATATAACGATAAGAGGTCTAGTCCAACAGGAAAATATCACAATCCTAAATCTATATGCACCTAACATAGGAACTCCTAAATTTATAAAACAATTACTACTAGACCTAAGAAATGAGATAAGCCAGGCATGGTGGCTCATGCCTGTAATCTCAGCACTATAGGAGGCCAAGGTGGGCAGATCACCTGAGGTCAGGAGTTCGATACCAGCCTGGCCAACATGGTGAAACCTCGTCTCTACTAAAAATACAAAAATTGCTGGATGTGGTGGCACACACCTGTAATCCCACCTACTTGGGAGGCTGAAGCAGGAGAATTGTTTGAACCCAAGAGGCGGAGGTTGCAGTGAGCTGAGATTGTGCCACTGCACTCCAGCCTGGGCAACAGAGTGAGACTCCCTCTCAAAAAGAAAAAAAAAGAAAAAGTAAAAAACAAGAAAAAAAGAAATGAGATAGACAGCAACACAGTAATAATGCAGTAATAGTTGCGGACTTCAGTACTCTACTGACAGCACTAAATACTAAATAGGTCACCAAAACAGAAAGTCAACAAAGAAAAAATGGACTTAAACTATACCCTACAACAAATGGACTTTACAGATATTTGCAGAACATTCTACCCAACAACTGCAGAATACACATTCCATTCATCAGCACATGGAACCTTCTCCAAAATAAACCGTATGATAGGCCACAATACAAGTCTCAAAAAGTTTAAGAAAATCAAAATTAATATAACTACTCTCTCAGACCCCAGTGGAATAAAATTGGAAATCAACTCCAAAAAGAACCTTCAAAACCACGCAAATACATGGAAATTAACCTCCTCCTGAATGATCATTGGGTCAAAAATGAAATCAGGATGAAAATTAAAAAATTATTTGAACTGAACTGAATAATAATAGTGACAAAATCTATCGAAACCTCTGGGATACAGCAAAGGTGGTGCTAAGAGGAAAGTTCATAGCATTAAATGCCTACATCCAAAAGTCTGAAAGAACAGAAAGAGACAATATAAGGTCACAACTAAAAGAGCTAGAGAAACAAGAACAAACCAAATTCAAACCCAGCAGAAGAAAAGAAATAACCAAGCTCAGATCAGAACTAAATGAAATTGAAACAAACAACAACAACAAAAATACAAAAGATAAATGAAACGAAAAGCTGGTGCTTTGAAAAGTTAAGTAAAATTGATAGACCATTAGCAAGACTAACCAAGAAAAGAAGAGAGAAGATCCAAACAAGTGCTATTAGAAATAAGATGGGAGATATTACAACTGATAGCACAGAATTACAAAAGGTCATTCAAAGCTACTATGAACACCTTTATATGCAGAAACTAGAAAACCTAGAGGAGATGAATAAATTCCTAGAAATGTACAACCCTCCTAGATTAAACCAAGAACAAATGGAAAATCCGAACAGACTAACAACAAGCAGAGAGACTGAAATGGTAATTAAAAAGTCACCACCAACAACAAAAAAGTCCAGGACCAGACAGATTCACAGCTGAATTCTATCAGACATTTAAAGAAGAATAGGAAGAATAGGTGCCAATTCTATTGACACTATTCCAAAAGATACAGAAAAAAGGAACCCTTCCCATATCATTTTATTGAAGCCAGTATAACCCCAATACCAAAACCAGGGAAGGACATAACAAAAAAAGAAAACTACAACCAATATCCCTGATGAACATAGACGGAAAAATTCTCAACAAAATACTAGCTAACCAAATCCAACAGCATATCAAAAAGATAACACCATGATTAAGTGGGTTTCATACCAGGGATACAGGAATGGTGTAACATATGCAAGTCAATAAATGTGATACACCACATAAACAAAATTAAAAACAAAAAAATCACATGATCATTTCAATAGATGCAGAAAAAGAATTTGACAAAATCCAGCATCCCTTTATGATTAAAACCTTCATCAAAATCGGCATAGAAGGGACACACCTTAAGGTAATAAAAGCCATCTATGACAAACCCACAACCAACATTACACTGAATGGGCAAAAGTTGAAAGCATTTTCCCTGAGAACTAGAACAAGACAAGGATGTTCACTTTCACTACTTCTGTTCAACATAGTATTGGAAGTCCTAGCCAGAGGAATCAGAAAAGAGAAAGAAATAAAGGGCATCTGAATCAGTAGAGAGGAAGTCAAAGTGTCGCTGTTGGCTGGTTACATGATCATATACCTAGAAAACCCTAAAGGCTCATCCAAAAAGCTCCTAGAACTGGTAAGTGAATTCAGCAAAGTTTCAGGATACAAAATTAATATACACAAATCATTATCTCTGCTATACACCAACAGCGACCAAGCTGAGAATCAAATCAAGAACTCAACCCCTTTTACCATAGCTGCAAAAAAAATAAAATACTTTGGAATATACTTAACCAAAAAGGTGAAAGACCTCTACAAGGAAAACTACAAAACACTGCTGAACAAAATCAGAGATGACACAGACTAATGGAAACACATTTCATGCTCATGGATGTGTAGACTCAACATTGTGAAAATGACCATACTGCCAAAAGCAATCTACAAATTCAATGCAATTCCCATCAAAATATCACCATCATTCTTCACAGAATTAGAAAAAGAAATCCTAAAATTCATATGGAACCAAAAAAGAGCCTGCGTAGCCAAAGCAAGACTAAGCAAAAAGAACAAATCTGGGGGCATTACACTACCCGACTTCAAACTGTACTACAATGCTATACAAAACAACATGATACTGATATAAAAACAGGCATATACACCAAAGGAACAGAATGGAGAACTCAGAAATAAAGCCAAATTCTTACAGACAACTGATCTTCAACGAAGCAAACAAAAACATAAAGTGGGGAAAGGACGCCCTGTTCAACAAATGGTGCTGGGATAATTGGCAAGCCACATGTTGAAGAATGAAACTGAATCCTCATCTGTCACCTTATACAAAAGTCAACTCAAGATGGATCAAAGACTTAAACTGAAGACATGAAAACATTAAAATTTGAGAAGATAACATTGGAAGAACCCTTGTAAACATTGGCTTAGGCAAAGACTTCATGATCAAGAACCCAAAAGCAAACACGACTAAAACAAAGTTAAATCGATGGGACTTAATTAAATTATGAAGCTTCTGCACAGCAAAAATAATCAGCAGAGTAAACAGATAACCCATAGTGTGGGAGAAAATCTTCTCAATCTATACATTTGACAAAAGACTAATATCCAGAATTTACAAAGAACTCAAACAAATCACCAAAAAAACACAAAACCATTTCATCAAAAAGTGGGCTAAGAACACGAATAGACAAGTCTCAAAAGAAAGTATACAAATGGCCAACAAACATATGAAAATAATGCTTAACATCGCTAATGATCAGGGAAATGTAAATCAAAACCACAATGCAACACCACCTGACTCCTACAAGAATAGCCATAATCAAAAAATCAAAAAATAATAGATGTTGGCATGAATGTGGTGAAAAAGGAACACTTTTACACTATTAGTGGGAATGTAAACTAGTACAACCACTATGGAAAACTGTGGAGATTCCTTGAAGAACTAAAAGTAGATCTACCATTTGATCCAGCAATCCTACTCCTAAGTATCTACCCAGAGGAAAAGAAGTCATTATACTAATAAAGATACTTGCACACACATGTTTATAGCAGCACAATTCACAATTGGAAAAATATGGAACCAGCCCAAATGCCCATCAATCAATAAGTGGATAAAGAAAATGTGGTATATATATGTATATATATGTGTGTGTGTATGTGTGTGTATGTATAGATAGATGATAGATGATAGATAGATAGATAGATAGATAGATAGATAGATAGATAGATAGATGATAGAAGATGATAGATAGATAGAGAGATAGATGATAGATAGATAGATAGATAGATGATAGATAGATAGATAGATAGAAGATAGATAGATAGATGATAGATGATATAGATAGATAGATAGATAGATAGATAGATAGATAGATAGATGATAGAAGATAGATAGATAGATGAACACTACTCAGCCATAGAAAGGAATGAAATAAGGGCATTTGCAGCAACCTGGATAGAATCAGAGACCATTATTCTAAGTGCAGTAACTCAGGAATGGAAAATCAAACATCATATGTTCTCACTCATAAGTGGAAGCTAAGCTATGAGGATGCAAAGGCCTAAGAATAATATGGACTTTGGAGACTTGAGGAAAAGGATGGGAGGAGGTGAGGGATAAAAGACTACACATTGGGTACAGTGTACACTGCTCAGGTAATGGGTGCACCAAAATCTAAGAAATGACCGCTTAAAACTTATTCATGTAACCAAACACCACCTGTTCCCCAAAAACCTATTGAAATAATAAAAAAAAGAAACTCAAAGGGTCTTTATGAGTAATCAGATTGAGTTCCTCTGGTACAATGTCAGAGAACCAGAGACCTCTTATATTTTCTGGAAAAAGTATGATGGCTCCTATAATAACTTTATGCATCTGAGCCGATAGAATGTGTCTCTAATGCACACTCTAGGCAGAAGCGACTCTGCAGATGTTCTTCAGACTTGGTCATAGTCGTGAAGATCCCAGGCTCAATTGGGAACATTGGAGTCTATCCTGCAGAGACCAGATCTCATGGGACTTCAAGTGGCTCTATGCAAATAGAATGTTTGCTTTCTGTAGTGAATGACCTTGCCAGGGTACCACCTGTAAGCCTGGAGCTAAGGAGTCTTCCCTACTGGTGAGGGGAAATAAACGGTATGAATTGTTACGTCACGAAGGGAATTGGATAGTAAAGACATTAAATACCCTTCCCCAGAGGGCTGGGCAAATCAGAAAGGAGCCATGTGGAACTTACTCCCTTGTCAATGTAGACTGAAAGGAAGCCTATATGATTAAATAATGTCCCTGGACTCAAGTAGCCCATGGAGAGAGTTCTGAACATCATAAAAGAGGGAAAGAAGAGATAGCAAAAGTGAGAAATATCTGAGGGTTCCATGATCTATCTATAAAGACATTTTCTGGGCCTCAAAAACACAATATTGGCATTTTATGCATGGGAGTAGAAAGAATGACATTTCATGCGTGGGAGACAATGCACAATAAGTATACAAGTTAAAGGATGTAAGGACATACCAAGGAGTCCAAGAGGCTTAGAAGTTCGAAGTATGTACTTCATGTTATGGCAATAGTTTAAGAAAATTTCTGCAGCCAAATATACAGTGAGGTTTAGGGGTGTAGTGACAGTGAAGAGACTGAGGACCAGGTAGTGGGATTCAAGAGAAAGGCTGAAAGAGACTGGAGGATGGCAAGCTCCAGTGATAGAAAATGTACTGGGTGGGGTAGAACTAAAGTTCACTATGAATATATGTATCTTAGAATAAAGGATTTTGAGTGTCAAGGGGACTCAAGAAAGACATGTCAATAATAATTCCAAGTATTGTGAGCAACAGAATGGATTGTTAGTGTCATTTACTGACATTTGTAAAACCAATACTAATTGAGTTCCTAGTATATACCAGGCACAGTACTTGCGGTATATATTTGAATGCATATATACACAAACACACACACATATATATATCAATCATACCACACATACCATATCACATGTATATATAATCCATGCTTTCATTGTACTAATCTAATTTATCCAAAAGTAAGTAGGTAATAAATTCAATATTTGCTTTCTAAGGCCTGTTAATATTCAAACATTATTTGTTTTTTAATAGTTATTAAATAGTTATAATTCAAATATTTCTATTGAAATCAAGAGTCAATGAACCATGGGTCCATTCTGGCTCACTACGTATATTTGTAATTAAAGATTCACTGGAACATGACCAAGCCCCATTGTTTACTTCCTGTCTATGGCTGTCTTCCACGCTCAGGAAACAACAGCACAGTCAAATAGTTATGAAAGAGACCATGTGGCCTGTAGAGTTTAACAAATTTACTATCTGACCCTTTACAGAAAATGTTTGTCTATGCCTTGTCTAAATCTCTACCAAGAAGCTAAACAGATACGTTTATTAATACAATTAAACCTGACAGCACCTCTCAAACTTATGATAGCCTCTCTTCCTTCACCTCCTAGATAGGTTCCAGCTTTATGTCCTGCTGCAGACTAACTTACCTCCTACTCTCGCCCTTGGTCGGGAGGTAGGGGATATTGTCTCTGCTAAGCCACACAACAGAGTGGGACATAATTATACCCATTTCTGGGATGTGAGGCCTTTCCTTTTAAAAATTCTAAGCTAAATACTGAGAGAATACACACAAGAAATGGCAAAAGTAAGAAAAAAGGAAGTTCCAAAATTTAAGACACCTTATGTATTCTTCAAAAAACATATAGTTAGGTTTGTAGAAATATGGAAAACCAAACAGAACCTTCTAGATTGGGTAACTCTGTGAACACAGAAGCTGAACTGGCTCTGATCTCTAACATATTTAGATGAATAAGAAAAAAATATGAGATAAATTGATAAAACCCGTAAACTGAGAGAAGGATCCCACTCACACATGAGAAATTTCAAGAGATCATTTTCCTAGGTAAAAGACAAGTAGAGCCATAACTACAGCAAAAACTAAATAAACAACTTTCTTATTGGAGAACAATGTGAAACTGTGTCATAGAGAATTAGCAGTTACCATCCAACTGGAGAGAATTATATTCATGATGTGGGAGGCCACAGAAGATATGGCTCACCCCCCTGGCATACACTTCTATTGCCAAAAATCAAGAACCCTGAAAAATAGAGTTGATGGTTGTGGGCATCTCCCACAATGACTCTGGTACCCGCACTTAAGATGCCGCATGTGGCTTAGTGTGAGTTCCTTGCTATGAAGAAGAGAGGAGAGAAGTGGTTCTGTATGATTAGAAAGAGGACTGGTGCCAGAAACATACAGTATCTCTAAAATGGAGGCAGGACACAATAAAGCCTGGACATAGAAAGCTGCACCTTTAGCAGCCACTTCAACAAACACAGAGGAAAAATTGTGCCAAGATAAGGATTCCAGATGGGACCTGCGTTTAGCCCCAACTCATTTTTCCCTCCACTGAGAATACTGACTCAGAATCACAAAAAAAGGAAATTAGAACATATCTAGTTGATAATGGGGGAAAGAAAATACAACGAAAAAAATATATATTGAAAAAAAAACTTTGGCCAGGAGCAGTGGGCCACGCTTGCAATCCCAGCACTTTGGGACACCAAGGCGGGCAGATCACAATGTCAAGAGATCGAGACCATCCTGGCCAATATGTTGAAACCCCCTCTCTACTAAAAATACAAAAATTATCTGGGCATGGTGGCAGGCACCTATAATCCCAGCTTCTGGGGAGGCTGAGGCAGGAGAATCGCTTAAACCAGGGAGTCAGAGCTTGCAGTGAGCCAAGATCGCACCACTGCACTCCAGCCTGGTAACAGAGTGAGACTCCGTCTCAAAAACAAAAACAAAAACACCTTACTTTGTTTAATGAAAAAGAAAACTTCCAACAAAAGTTTATGGCAAGATTATTTAAACTAGGAATAATCACCAAAGGAGAAAAATACAGCACGAAAGAAAGTGATTTCTAGACAGATTTAACCTAGAAATATGTTCTAGTTCATATCTATTTTGTGTTTGCAGTTAAAAAAAAAACAGCAAAAATGGACTCAACAAAATAAATAAAGATTAGCTGGTAAATCAGCAATCAGCAGATTCCAGAAAAAGGAACTGAGAAAGGCAAGCAGAAGGAAGGAAATTGAATGTAATAAAGAAAGAATATGAAGAATTTAAAATGAAACAACAGGATTAAAACCTTCATTGAGAAAAGAAAAAAAGTAGTTGGCACAGCAGAATATAACAGTTCACAGGTCTAGAGAACATATTAGAGAATGTAGTCTATAATTAGGGTGGATATATAAATATCATGCTTGCCTGGTGGAAGCCCTCGAGTCAGAGAGAAAACACTTGGCTCCCAGGCCTGTGGGTCTGGTCAGCCCACCCTGGCTTGAGGGGAGCAGGAAGCCAAGTGTGTGCTTGCCTCAGAGATCAACCTGGGAGTGGAGAAGCTCTCAGAAAGCCCCTTTCTGCTCTGCACCATCAGTGATAACGTTGAAAGTTGACAAGCATTCTGTATATTCAGGACATATACTATAGACGACTTTGTCTTGCAACCTGTGTTGACTTTGTCAGGACACTCTAAGTATCCTGTAATCAGAAATTTATTTTTAATTAATTATAAGAATTCAGCACTTAAAGATATTTTTCTGCCACAGAATTTGGCCCTTAAACCACTTATATAGCAACACTAGCTGAAAATGATACCTCCACAAATAGAGATCTGGACAACCCTGCTCAATGTCTCTCCTGCAGGTTTGGCTAAGGGAAGACCAAAAATGAGGTTGGTGGGAATGGGGTGAGGAGGGAGGCTGAGAATTCAAAATGCTGATTTTTGACGTTCTAGAAAGGGGAAAACTGTTCTGCAGCCAAAGTGCCAAGTCATGAACAAATAACTACTGTTAGAGATAACTTTGGATTGGTATACATGCTCTGAAGTCAGCCAATCAGTGACAACCTGTCTCCAGTAATTTGTTTCTGGAAGTTAGCCTGTCAGAGGCAGGTCCACACTGCCAGACAATAACCAATCATCAAGCGTCTCACTCCAGGGCTGGTGCTTCTGAAAACCTGTCCACAGCAGTTTTAATCCAGGGACCACTCTAACATAGGTGAAAATCTATCAATACCTAAACGCTCCCACTTCTGAAAATCTACCAATTCCCAAACTCCATGCTTCCCAAGACTTACACAAGGTCAACTCTGGTTTTGTTCAGGAATATTATGTCTAACAAGTACAGATCTCCCTTGCAGACAATCAGGAAGTTTATTTTGTCTTGCATTTGATATCTAATTTATTATTTGTTTGTAAGTTCTCAACTGTTTCCACAATTCAAGCCATGTTTACTAATAAATATAAATTTGGACTTGAGAGTAACAGACAGGCTGAAGAAGAGGTAATAGCAATCTTTTCAATTATTGGGTGGTGGCTATTATCTATTCAAATGCCAAAACACAGGTATAACTTTTGTGACGAATTTTTTCAACAATGGACATTTATTAAATGAGGAAAGATCCTTCCATAGCTCTTTGAACAGCATGCAATTGTTATTCAGTATCATAAATTGAAATTCAGTGCAAGCCAAGATATCCTGACAGCTACACTTAAGAGATTTATGATTTCCTCAACTACTTCCAAAGGAAGTGATAAAATAACAAATTTTTTGATTAAGATAAATTCAAATAAAGAAGATAAAATAATCACAGCAGAAGTTAAAATGGCTCCTCTCGTTGCATATCATCATCAGCCTTTCAGCTCAAATGACTGTTTGAACATACTGCTACCATAAGTATTTTCAGATTCCAATATTGCAAGCAAATTTTCAAGTGCCAGGATGAAGACTACTGCAATAATTAAAAAATGAAATGGCTCCATTTACTATTACAGAGATTATCAAAAATCTAAACCTCACCTTTTTTGATGACACAGCATAATTGCAAGTAATCACAATGCAGAAAAAAAATTTTTTTCATTGCTTGTACAATATTTTTCCCATGAAAAGGGCTGGTTTTTAAAGCTTTAGCAAGTAAAATCTCTTCCAAATAAGACTTCAGAAACAAGAGCAAATTTTTGTGGAAAACTCTCTTACTGAGCTAAGAGTGAAGACAAAAAATCATACTGCTTTTGGTGGAGATAATACAAATACAAATGTTGGTGTAAACGTTCAAACAATGTTTATTCAAAGTTAAAGCAAAGCATAAATGATTCTGTGAAAGGTGTTAGCTATTTTGTCCGTATTCTGTTTAATGTTGCTCAGACCGCATCTGTACCCTTTCTACCAACATTGTAGTAGTTGTCACGAAAATGTTCCCTTTAGTGCTGTTCAAAGTGAACAACTGAGGGATTTTTGTAATTTTGTCATCATTTCGTATTCTTTAATTCTCTAGAATTCAAAAATCTGTTGGTTTTCTTCAACAAAAGCAGTTGAGAGAATCTTCAGTTCATTTTGAAACATGGAAATCATAGTTTAATTCTGGTAGCCCAAAAAGTTCTTGTTGACTTTTTAAATAATTCATTGAATGAAGTCTACTTATTTCTTGTTCATTGTTTTCACTTTCTCTCAAGCAAAAAGATTATGCAAATCAAAGAAGAGTAAACAGTGTTATTGAAGTACTCCATTGCTAACAGAAACTTGTTGAATGGATAAAAAAAAAAGAAAACAAAAACTCATCCTTTAAGTGTCAAGATTGTTCTTACTAGGCACAGTATTGCCTAGTAATGAATAGGAATGAATAGGATGAATAGAATTCATCCTATTTATGAATTTCCCTAGTTATGAATAGGAAAAGAAATTTTGACTTGAAGAGGATAATTATTACAGCATTTAGTGTGACTGTTTTGAAATGAATTTCATCTCTTGAACAATTCAATTATTTTAAATGAATGTTAGTAAATACTCTTCCAGCATGGGGACAAATGAATTCATGATGTTTATTGTTGAAGAAGGGGGAAAAAGTTGACAATAATTTTCTTTTTGTCAGTGAAAAACATTTTAGAAAGTCATTGATCAAGAGTTAAAATCCTGAAGAATGGAAAAACAAGTCATGCCATTGAAGATGGCATTATATATTTTAACATATCTAACTCGAAGAGCTTTCTCAGAGTGGTAGATTTTATGGTAATAGATGTCCAGTGTGCTAGCTTATTTTTTCTCATTAATCAATGTTGAGTAAACAAAAGAATACCATTAATTTTATGTGACAATATATAGATGGTATATTACAATGTAAATGGAACATAGATTGTATCAGCAAAGAATTTTGTAAGCGAATTTTATAAAACAAGTAACAAAGAGACCCAAAACATTAAGGCCACAAAATTAAAGAAAGTGTTATATAATTTAAACACTTATAATGTATTTGAGATGAACAATGAATAATTTTTAAATATGTCCACATAATATTTTTCTTTTATCTCAATGTATACATACATATGCCATTAGAAATTATTCACATTGAACTGGAAATAAAAATTACATTTTTATTTCCTAAATCTGGTGGCCCTAATCAGAAAGCTGGCTTGCCTCATTTGCCCAGGGTTGGGGCAACTGCATCTGTGATATTTTCAGAAATATACACAAATTGACTTTGGGATACAGGGATCCTAGAAGACCTTCTTCTTACAAAGCCAGAATTTCAACTGTTGATCCAGCCAGCTCAGCCTAAATCAAAAATTCCCCTTCTTTGGGAATTTCTATTAAGATTCCTATGTTACAGGTGAGGAAACTGAGACTGAGGCAAGAGACTGAGGTGGATACTTTTCAGTAAAGAGCAAAGACTGCCTGGGTTCATGCCTGTAATCCCAGTACTTTGTGGGGCCAATGTGGGAGAGTCCAGAAGTTCTAGATCAGCCTGAGCAACACTGAGAGACCTCCTTCTCTACAAAAAAGAAAAAAGAAAAAAAAAGCCAGGAGTGGGGGCATGATCCTGTACCCCCAGCTACTCAGGAGGCTAAGGCAGGAGGATTGCTTGAGCCCAGGAATTTGAGACTGCGGTGAGCTATGATTATACCCCGCACTCCAGCCTGGGTGACAGAGAAAGACCTCATCTCAAAAAACAAAACAAAAAAACCCAAAAAACAGTAGGGCCTGTGCCATGGCTGGATAGGAAATATGTACGTACCTAACAACACAGCACCAAAATACAGAGAGCAAAAACTCACAGAATTGAAGGGAGAAATAGACAATCTAACAATAGCAGTTGGAGAATTCAATATTACACTTTCAATAATTGACAGAACACATAGGCCACAGATCAACAAGGAAATCGAACCTGAGTAACGCTATAAACTAACTATACCTAATACCTTCCTACAGAACACTCAATGACAGCAGTATATGTATTCTTCTCAAGTACAGATGGAATATTCTCCAGGATAGTCCATATGCTGGACCATAAAACAAGCCTCAATAAATCTGAAAAGATTGAAAACAGACAACATGTCTTATTCAATAACAATGGAATAAAATTAGAAAATAGTAACAGAAAGAAAATTGAGAATTTCAGATATATATATATATATATACACACACACAGACATTAGAAAACATACTATCAAACAGCCAATAGGTCAAGGAAGAATTCACAGGAAAATTAGAAATTAGAAATTCCTTTGAGCCAGGTGCAGTGGCTCATGCCTATAATCCCAGCACCTTGGGAGGCCAAGGAGAGAGAATAACTTGAGGACAGAAATTCAAAACCAGCCTGGGCAACAGTGAGAACTCATCTCTATGAAATTTTAAATACTTTTTAAAAATAAAAAATAAAAGAAATTACTTGCAGCTGAATTAAAAAGAAGACACAACATATCAAAACCAAAACTTACTGTATACAACTAAAGCAGAACTAGAGGGAAATTTATAACTAGAAACTCCTTTGTTGAAAAAGATCTCAAATCAATAACCTAACCTCTCTACCTAAGACACTGGAGAGAGGGGAGCAAACTAAATGTAAAGCAAGCAAAAGGAAAGAAATTATAACATTAAACTAGAACTTAGGAAAACAGAGCATAGAGAAACAAGGAATTTTTTTAAAGTTGTTCTTTGAAAATATGTTTTTAAATGACAAACTCAGCTAGACTGACAATGAAAAGAAAGAAAGATGACTCAAATTATTAAATTTAGAGCTAAAACAGGGGATATTACTACCAAGCTTATAGAAATAAGGAGGATTATAAGGAAATACTATGAACAATTGGATGCCAATACATTAAATAATTTAGATAAAATGTACAAATTCCTAGAAACATACAAGCTACAGAAACTGACTCAAGAAAAAATAGAGAATCTGGATAGACCTGTAGCAAGTAGAGATTGAATTAGTAATCAAAACAAAACACCCGAAGAAAAATTCAAGCCCAGGTGACTTCACTGGTGAACTTTGCCAGACATGTAAAAAAGAATTAATATCAATTCTTCCTAAACTCTTCCAAAGAAGAGAGTTTCATGAAGCCAGTATTACCAAAACAAGACAGACACATCCCAAGAAAAGAAATCTACAGACCAATAAGTATTAGGAATACAGACAAAAATTCTCAATAAGATACTAATAAACCAAATTTAGACATATTTTTAAAAACACCATGATAAAATGCCAATTTATCCCAGGAACGCAACATCCAAAGATAATATATGATATCAATAAAGTTTAGGACGAAACCCACATAATCATCTCATAATACAAAAAAAGTATTTGAAAAATTTCAACATTTTCATGATAAAAATACTCAGCAAAATAAAAATGGGACGGCATTTTCTCACCCTGATAAAGGGCAGCTATAAAAAACCCAGTTACCATTATACCTGACTACAAAAAACTGAATGTTTTCCCCCTAAGATCAAAAAAATACCACGATGCACTCTCTCACTTCTTTTACTAAGCGTACTGGAGGTTCTAACCTGAGAAATTATGCAAGAAAGTGAACTAAACGGCATGGAAATTGGTAAATAAAGTAAAACTACCCCTGTTTGCAGATGATATAATCTTGGATATAGAAATTCTTAAGGAATCCACTAAAAGACTATTCAAACTATAAAACAGGTTTAGCAAGGTTGCAAGATACAAGACTAATATGTTAAAACCAGTTGTATACAAATGGCAATAAATAATCTGGAAATGAGATTAAGAAAAGAACTGCATTTACAATGGCATCACAAATAAAACACTTAGGAATAAATTAATGAAAATGGTGCAAAACTCATACTCTGAAAACTACAAAATATTGTTGAAAGAAATTGTTAAAGATCTTTTAAAATGGAGCAACTTCTCAATTTCAAGGATTAAAATTGTTAAGATGGCCATATTCCTTAAATTCATCTACAGATTTAACACAGTTGTTACCAAAATCTCAGTTGGCTTTTATGCATAAGTTGACAAACTGATCCTAAAATTAATATGGAAATTCAAGATAACCAGAATAAACCACAACAATCTTGAAAAAGAACTATATTGGAATATTCACACATCCTGATATCAAAACATACTACAGAGCTACAGTAATCAAGACATAAGGATAGATATATAGATCAATGGAACAGAACTGAGAGACCAGAAATAAACAATCACATTTATGCTCACTTCATTTTCAACAAGGGGGTCAAAACATTTCATTGGGAAGCAGTAATTTTTAAAATAAAAGGTGCTGGGATGCATGGATGTCCACATGGTAAAGAATGAAGTTTGAGCCCCTACCTCATACCATACACAAAACTAACTCAAAATGGGTATCAGACCAAAATATAAAGGCTAAAACTATAAAACCCTTAGAAGAAAATAGGCTTAAGTCTTAATGAACTTGGAGTTGATAATGGTTTCTTAGATGTGACACCAAAAGTACAAGCAACCAAAGAAAAAAATTGACAAACTGAACTTCATCAAAATTTAAAACATTTTTGCCCAATCAAGAAAGATAAAAATACAAAATGGAAGAAAAAAAAATTCAAATAACATATCTGACAAGGGACTTATATTTAGAATATGTATTTAGAGAATGCTTACAACTCGATAGTAAAAAGACAACCCAATTTTAAGAATCTGAATAGACATGTCTCCAAATAAGATATACATATGGCCGACAAACACATTAAAAATACTCAACATCATTACTCATCAGAGAGATGCCAATTCAAATCACAATGAAACACCACTTCACACACACTATGATGGCTAGGATTAAAAAGTCGGAGAGTAGCAAGAGTTGTCATGAAGTTAGACAAACTGGAACTCTCATACATTGTTAGAGGAGATGTAAACAGTGCATTCACTTTGGAAAACAGCCTTGAAGTTCATCAAAACTTAAACATAAATTTTCCATATGGTCAACCAATTCCACTCCTAGTTATATTTCCAAGAGAAATGGAAACATATGTCCAAGAGAAATGGAAACATAGAAACTTGTACACAAATATTCACAGAAGCACTATTTATAATAGCCAAAAAATTCTAAGAACCTGAATTCACTTCAATTGATGAATAGACAAAGTATGATATATTCATATAATAGAATATGGCTCAAGAATAGAAAAAAGACTGAAGTACTAATATATGACACAACATAGATGAACCATGAAAATCTTATGCTAAGTGAAAGAAGTCAATCGAAAGGACCACATATTGTACAATTCCATTTATAGGAAATGTCCAAAATAGGCAAATTGATAGAAATAGAAAATAGATTAGCAGTTTTCTGGGGCTGGGGGACAGAGATAATGGCTAAATGGCACAGGATTTCTTTTGGGGATTGTTCCATGAAAGGGCTGTATATGCAAAGCAATTCCCAAATGCCAAAGGAGCCAGGAAACTGAAGAAGGAGGCAGACCATTTCAGTTTGTCCATATTGGATGATTTATTGAGAGGCCTCATAGACAGAAGCATGGTCTTGGGTAGCTGCAAGACAGGTAGATCTATGCATTGTTAATCCCCAGGCCCAAGGCTTATATACCACAGGGAAAGTATATGTGTGCTCCGTGCAAGACAACTAAAGGCAACCCTCTGGAACAAGCGAGGATGTAATGAAATTAATGTAAGTGAAATAATGCAGTATATACGCTTGTATATTTGACTTCTTTTGCTCAATTTTATGTTTGCAAGATGCGTCCATATTTTTATGTGTAATACACATCAATCATTCACATCGCTATATAGTATTGCATTGTGTGTCTACCAGAATGAACTTACCTATTTTCCCATTGATGCATTCTTGAGTAGTTTCCAATTTGAGGCTCATACAAATAGTGTTGCTGTGAACATTCTAGTATAGTCAGTTCTGCTTGCTTAGAAACACAAATCTGTTTCAACACAACTGGTATATTAGAGAACACTTATGCTTACTGCAAGTTTTGTGTTTGCTTATGTGCAGTTTTGTTTGTGAGAGGCACTAGATGCACACTTAAAATTCCACCCAGCCAAATCAATCCGTGTAGGAACGAGGAAAACACACACACGCATACACCTCAAACATCTATCAGCTACCTCAGTTCACTACATGTGTTATTCTACAAGGTTGTATTTTGTATTTCATTGTGAACTTTTCTATATTAAAAAAAAATGGACATTCAACATCCCAAACATCTCTAAGCATCCTGGTTCAAGAATGCTAGGGAGAACATACAAAATAAGTTTTAAGTATTAAATAGAAGCTAGAAATTATGTGTTATTTTAAAAGAAATAAGAGAGCATATCATATCTCACAAGCAATAGTCATAAAGGAATCTACACATAGACCATGAGACATAGTACTATAAAAATGAAAGAAATTTGGCTTTTTTTAATCTCCAGAAAGGCTGGAACAACTTCAAATGCTACAAATGCTATAAAGTCAATAAGAACAAGGCCTAAATAAATAAAAGAAATAGATTGTTGAGCATGTGGACTCAAGACCAGTGAAAAATATCAGGAACAACCTTTCTCATAATCAAAGAGAAAGCACCGGCCGGGCGCGGTGGCTCACGCCTGTAATCCCAGCACTTTGGGAGGCCGAGGCGGGCGGATCACGAGGTCAGGAGATCGAGACCATCCCGGCTAAAACGGTGAAACCCTGTCTCTACTAAAAAAAATACAAAAAATTAGCCGGGCGTAGTGGCGGGCGCCTGTAGTCCCAGCTACTTGGGAGGCTGAGGCAGGAGAATGGCGTGAACCCGGGAGGCGGAGCTTGCAGTGAGCCGAGATCCCGCCACTGCACTCCAGCCTGGGCGACAGAGCGAGACTCCGTCTCAAAAAAAAAAAAAAAAAAAAAAAAGAGAAAGCACCACCTATATGCAGAGACCTTAAACAGAAATTGCCAAATCCTGCTAAAGTGGTTTATTTTAGTGCTAGTAGTCAGTATTTTGATGGATGCAGCAATTTCCAGAGGCTTCAACTCTCAGACAAAGCCAAGAGTGCAAACCAGAAAGTCACAAAATAATTTCCAGCAGTGATCGAAAAATTAAAGTTTTAATTGAAAAAGGTGGCTATGCATTTGAACCACTTTGTTCGTTTTTGATAAAATAGGCATCTATTATGAACTCGTGCCTCAGAGGACTTACATTTCAAAAACAGAAAAACACAACCCCAGATTTAAGGCTGCAAAAGATTGCAAATTTTGATAACCCGCCTATAATAGATTGAATGGTGGCCTCAAAAGAAATATATTCATGTCCTAAACCCCAGAACTTGTGACTATGACCTTATGTAGACAAAGTCTTTGCAGATGTAACTAAATGAAAGATCTCAAGACGAAATCATTCAGGATTAGTCAGGTGGGCCTAAATCCAATAATCCAGCCTTATAAAAGAAAAAAAGAGAAGAAGACAGGGAGAAGGGATGGTCAATATGAAGATGGAGGCAGAGATTGGAAGGAAGCAACCATAAACCAAAGGATCCCCAGAACCACTAGAGCAGGGAGAGACAAGAAGTGTTTCTCCCCTAAAGCCTTCAGAGAGAGTGCAACCCTGCAAACGCCTAGCTTCTGGACCTCTGGTGTCCAGCACCAATACCATGAGAGAATAAACTTCTGTTGTTTTAAGCCACCAAGTTTGTGGTAATTTGTCACAGTAGCCATAGGAAAGTAATACACCCCCTTCTACCTTTTCATAATAATTCACAAGCTGCAATGCTTGATGTCCACTTTCAAAAGGAAACTTCAGGTCTTATTTATTATAGCATTTATGTATTTGTTAAGCCATTTAACATATATAAAATTGCACTACCATTTTTAATAGGTTTTCATCTTCTTTACGGGTCACTGATTACACTTTTGAGTGTTTTGTTTATAAATGTATTTTTTCCACAATCCCTGTGATTTTTACTGTATGCTTTTGCATAATGTGGTTTTTATGGACATGTGTATTACATTATAACACGGCTGACTGCACATGTTTTGGATAACTATATTACACATTTTTCTTGGGTATATATTCGGTCATGGAATTGCTAGATCACACGTATGCATATGGTCAGCTTTTACTGATGCTGCCAATTTTTCAAAATAAGTATACTGCCACTAGTAGCGATGAGAGTTCTAGATTTTCCATATCATGACCAACAATTAGCATTTTTCATGCTTTCCATTTTAGACATTAAGATGAGTATGCTGTAGAATGATTATATGACTTTAATTTACATTCCCTTGTGATTAATGAAGTTGATTTTTTTTCATCTGTTAATTAGCCATTTGAGTATTCTCTTAGTGAAGTATCTGGTGAAATTTTTTGTTCATTTTTTAAATTACATTATCAGTTTCTTTTTGACGTCTAGGATTTCTTTATGTATTCATGAATATCTTCTTCCACTCTGTTGCCTCTTCACTCATTTAATTATGTGTTCTTATGAACAGAATTCCTTCATTTTGATATAAAATTGACCCTTGAACAACAAACACGAGTTTTAACTGTGTGGGTTTACTTACACGTAGATTTTTTCAATAAATATACTGGAAAATCTTTTGGAGATTATGATGACATTTGAAAAAACTCTCAGACAAACCACATAGCCTAGAAATATCAAAAAAAATAAGGAAAACTTAGGTATGTTATGAATGCATAAAATATATGTAGCTACTAGTCTATTTTATCATGTACCACCATAAAATATACACATATCTATTATAAAAAGTTTAAATTTATCAAAGATTATGCACACAAAAACTTACAGAGCATACATGGTGCCATTCACATTCAAAAGAAATGTAAACAAACATAAAGATGCAGTATTAAATCATAACTGCATAAAATTAACTATAGTACATACTACTACTGTAATAATTTTGTAGCAACCTCCCGTTACTATTATAGTGAGCTAAAGTGTTGCAAGCATCCCCTTAAAATGCCATGTAACACTAATCATCTCTGTGTGAACAGTTCACCTCTCCAGCAAATTTCATATTGCAGTAAAAAGTGATCTTTCACAGTTCCTTGTATTTTTCACTGTGTTTGGTAAAATACCGTGAACCTTGAATAACATAGTGAGATCCACATGAAGTGCCACTAGTGATGATGGAAGTGTTCCCAAGATGCAGAAAAAGGTATGACACTACAAGAAAAAGTTGAATTTCTTAATATTAGCCTAGGTTGAGGTCTGAGGCTGTGGTCGCCTGCCATTTCAAGATAAGTCCAGTGTAAGCACCGTTGTAAAAAAAAAAAAAATGGACAGAAAAGGAAATGTGTGAAGCCTCATTGCAGCTACACCACCAGGAGCAAAAACTTTGCACTTTTTATGAAATTTTTTTTTTGAGACGGGAGTCTGGCTCTGTCACCCAGGCTGGAGTGCAGTAGCATGATCTCGGCTCACTGCAACCTCCGCCTCCCAGATTCAAGTGATTCCCCTGCCTCAGCCTCCCAAGTAGCTGGGATTACCAGTGTGTGCCACCAAACCCGGCTAATTTTTGTATTTTTAGTAGAGATGGGGTTTCAGTGTTCGCCAGGCTGGTCTTGACCTCAGGTAATCCACCCACCTCGGCTTCCCAAAGGGCTGGGATTACAGGCGTGAGCCACTGCGCCCAACCTGAAATAAATTTTTATCTGATATTAAAAATGCAGCTTGTATGTGGGTGCAGGATTGCTCTAAGAATGGCATACCTGTAGACATTAATATAATTCCAGGAAAAGTGAAGTCATTATATGACAAATCAAAATGAAGGTGAAGGACCAAAAACTGGAGAAGTTAATGTCGTTAAAGGATGGTTAGATTATTTTAGAAAAAGATTTGGCTTTTAAAATGTCAAGATAACAACAGAAGCAAGTTCTCCCAACCAGGAGACAGTGGACACGTTCCCAGACATCATTAAGAAAATCATTAAGGAGAAAGGATATCTGCCTAAACAGCTTTTTAATGTAGACAAAAGTGCCCTGTTCTGGGACAAAATGCCACAAAGAACAGTTATTACTAAGGAAGAGGAGGGAGCACCAGGATTTAAGACAGAAAGGATAGACTAACTCTCCTTTTTTGTGCAAATGCAGTTGAGTTTGTGATCAACTAACCCCCAAGGCTTGCTAACCCCCAAACCTCGAAGAGAAAAGGTAAACACCAGCTGCCAGTCTTTTGGTTGTACAAGAAGTTCTGGACAAGAACACTTTTTATGGATTGATTCCATTGATGCTTTGTCCCTGAAGTCAGAAAGTACCTTGCCAGGAAGGGACTGCCTTTTAAAGTTCTTTTGATATTAGACAATGTCTCTGGCCATCAGAACTCCGTGAGTTCAAAGAGATGCACTTAGCCTAAAACACAGCATCTCTAATTCAGCCTCCAGATCAGGGAGTTATAAAGACCTTTACGGCTCATTACATACTGTACTCTATTGAAAGGATTGTCAAGGACGAGAACCCCAACAGAGAGAACGTTATGAAAGTCTGGAAGAATTATACCATTGAAGACGCCATCGTTGTCATAGAAAAAGCCATGAAATCCACCAAGCACAAACAATATATTCATCTTGGAGAAAACTGTGTCCAGATGTGCGTGACTTCATATGATGTAAACCATGCCAATTTAAAAAATGTAATTCAGATGTAAATTAGAACCAATCAAGGAAATTATGAAAGAGATCATGGATATGGTTTAAGAAAAAAAGTATGTGGGGTGGGGGAGGGTGGTAAACGATCTTAGAGAAATTCAAGAGCTCATAGATGCCACAACAAAGGAATTAGCAGAAGTCAACTTGATGAAAATGAGTGCATCTGAACTACTGACAGACACTGAGGAAGAAGACGTAGAAGAGGCAGTGCCAGAAAACACATTTACATTAGACAATCTGGCAGAAGGGTTCTGATAATTGAGGACTGCTTTTGACTTCTTTTATGACATAGACCCTTCTATGATACAGGCATGGAAATTAAAGCAAATGGTGGAAGAAGAATTGATACCATATAGACACATTGTTAGAGAAATGAAAAAGCAAGAAAGCCAGACAGAAATTACGATATGCTTCTATAAAGTTACACTAAGTGTGCCTCACTATACGGCCTTCTCTTCCACCTCTTTCACCTCTTCTATCTCTGCCACACCTGAGACAGCAAGACCCTCCTCTTCCTTCTCCTCCTCAGCCTACTCAATGCAAAGATCATGAAGATAAGAAAGATCTTTATGATGATCCATTTCTACTTCATAAATAGTAAATATATTTTCTCTCCCTTATAATTTTGGGGGTTTTTTGGTTTTTGGTTTTCTTTTTTTTCTTTTCTCTCTCTTCAGATAAAAATTTTCTTACTAACATTTTCTTTTCTCTAGATTTATTGTACGAATACAGCATATAATACATATACAACATATGTGTTAATCGACTATGTGTTATTGGTAAGGCTTCCGGCCAACAATAAGCTATTAGTAATTAAGTTTTTGTGAAGTCAAAAGCTATATACGGATTTTTGACTGTGTGAGGAGTTAGTGGCCCTAATCTTTATGTTGTTCAAAGTCAACTGTAGTCCAATTTTTTTTTTTTTTTTTTAGACAGAGACTCGCTGTGTCGCCTAGGCTGGAGTGCAATGGGGCGATCTCGGCTCACTGCAATCTCCGCCTCCTGGGTTCAAGCAATTCTCCTGTCTCAGCCTCCTGAGAAGCTTGGATTACAAGCATGTGCCACCACACCCAGCTAATTTTTGTATTTTTAGTAGAGACAGGGGTTCTACCATTTGGCCAGGCTGGTCTTGAACTCCTGACCTCAGGTGAGCTGCCCACCTTGGCCTCCCAAAATGCTAGGATTACAGGTGTGAGCCATTGTGCCTTGCCCATTTATTTTTATGGCTCATGCTTTTGTGTCTTTTTTAGGGATTCTTTGACAACCCTATGGTAATCATATAAGATTCTCTTGCATTTACCGCTAAAAGTTTTATCATCTTACTCTTCACATTTAGTTGTACAAACTATCTGGAATTGATTTTTCTGTATATGAGGTATGGATTCAAATACATTTTTTTCCATTGGGCTAGCCAGTTGACTCAGCAATATTTATCGAAAAACCATCATCCTACCTGCCCTACCATTACAGTATGTCTCCTAGATTCTTCATTCTTTTCTATGGTCAGTTTGTCTAGCCTTATGTCAATACCACACTATCTCAATTTCTATAGCTTTGTAGTAATGTGTGTAGATATCTCACAGTTTAAGACCTCAAGATTTGTTCTTCAAAATTGTTTGACTTAGGGCCCTTTGTATTACTATATGAATTTTTGAATCAACTGTCAATTTCTGAAAAAAAAAATCATATTTTAAGTTGTATTGTATTGATTCTACAATTGAGGAAAATTAATGTCTTTGCCACATTGATTCAATCCTGTATATATTACATACACTTCCATGTATTTAAGTCTTTGATATCACTCAATAATGTTTTGTAGTTTTTATTGAAAAGATTCTCATATCTTTTATTAAATTTAGTCTTAGTTTTTTAATGTTTTTGATACCACTGTAAACAGAATTTTTAAGTTTTTATTTTATCTTGTTTGTTGCTATTATATAAATGTAGAATTGATTTTTTAAATATTTATTTTCTATCAAGTGACTTTGTTAAATTCACTATTTCTAATAGGATATCTATTATTTCTAAAGCTTGTTTGGGGGTTTTTTAGGTACATAATTGTGTCATATGCATATTTATTTATTTAGCCTTATTTCACTGACTAAGACCTCCAGTACAATGTTGATTAGAAAATGATAGTAGGCATCTGTGGCAGACAGAATAATGACCCCCAGAGATGCCCATGCTCTATTTCCCATAATTTATGAATATGTTACCTTCTGTGGCAAAAGAGATTTGTAGATGTGATTATGGGTACAGACCTTGAGATGTGGAGATTATCCTGAATTATCCTAGTGGGCCCAATCTAATCAAATGTGTTCCTGAAAACAAGGAACATTTCTTGGCTGTGCTCAGAGAAAGAGCTGTGACAATTTTGCTGGCTTTGAAGATGAAAGAAAGGGCCACTAGCCAAGAAATGCAGGTGGCATCTAGAAGCTTAAAAAGGTAAGAAAATGGATTCTCCCTTAAAGTATCCAGAAGGAGAGCAATTCTGCCCTGCTGTTCTGTGGATAAATACTTTCCATCTGAGAAACAGCTTTTGGCTTGCTCCTGCACCTTAGGAGAGAATAAACACTTAACCACAGGCCATCAAGATACCACATGACCTTGGCTGCCCATCATAAACACAGTGTTGTCCGAACCACCACACCATAAAGTTGGGCATGCACAGCAGCACTCTGTTATTGAATGGAAGAAGTATGGGTGATACTGGGATCAAGCAGGCCCTAGAATTACAAGTAAATTGCAAGAAGTGACCCAAATCTTCCTGAGCCCTATAATATTACCTTTTCTTTCCCAGCCTACAACTATGGCTTCATGTGGAGTTTTTGTTATTGTTGTTTTTGTTTGGTTTTGTTTTGTTTTTTGACCAGTTGGCTGAGAAAGAGAAAGCTAGGCCTGCTTTACAGATGCTGCATGATATGAAAGCATAGCCAAAAGTGAACAACTGCAGCACTACACCCCTTTCTGGGACATCCCTGAAACACAGTGGTGAAGGGAAATCCTCCCAGTAGGCAGAACGCTGAGCAACGTGCTTTTTTTTTTTTTTTTTAATTTGAGTTATATACCAAAGTTCATTTCTCTTGAAAGGAGAAATGGCCAGAAATATGAATCTAGACAAATTCACAAGATGTGACCAGTGATTCGTCTGGACAATCGGGCCCCTGGAAGAAACATGACTGGAAAATTGGTGACAAGAATGTCTGAAGAAGAGTTACAAGGATAGATCCATTGGAATGGACAAAGAATGGTAAGATATTTGGTTTCATCTAAATGATCCTCAAAGGTGACTTTAGCAGAGGAGAATTTTGATAATCAAGTGGATAAGATGATTCATTTTTATGGATACCAATCAGCTTCTTTGTCCAGCCATGCCTTTCATTACCCAATGGGTTCATGAACAAAGTGGCCATGGTGTCAGGGAAGGAGATTATATATATGAGCTGAGGAATGTGGACTTCCACTCACTAAGATCAACTTGGCGACAGTCATGCTGAGGGCCCAATCTGCCAGCAGCAGAGAACAACACTAAGCGCCCAATATGACATCATTTCCTGGGGTGATCAGCCAGCTACTTAGTGGCAGCATGATTAAAACGGACTACTTTCCACATAGAGGGGCGTAACTTTGTTCTTACTGTAAAAACACTTGGATATGGATTTGCCTTACCTGAATGCAATGTTTCTTCCAAACCTGTCATACTGCAGAGTGTCTTATCCACTATTGCAGTAATTCTGTACACATTACTTCTGATCAAACAACTCATTCACAGCAAATAACTTGTGGCAATGGGCCCACGCTCATATAATTCACTGGCCTTACTGTGTTTCCCCTCATCCTGTATCATTTGGTTTGGTACAACAGTGGAATGGCCTTTTGAAGGCTCAGCTACACCTTGCAGGGCTAAAGCAATGCCCTCCATGAGGCTGTCCAGGCCCTAAAACAGCATCCAGTAGATAGTGATATTTCTCTCACAGCCAAGAATCAAGGGGAAGAAATGCAAGTAATGAGGTAATATTGTTTAGTGTCTTTCTATATGACCAAATATGACCAAATCTTGCTATATGATACAACATAGAGTCAAATTTGCTAATGTTTCATGTCCACTAGAAACACATAGGCATTATTCTACCACTAGAAACACATAGGAACTATTTTATTGGTGGATGCAAGTTTCTACATGTTTATGACTTTAAATTTCTTAATCATTTTTTCAAATACTCTATATTATTTTATTTTTATTATAGGTTATAGATTTGTCCAGCTCTCCATTCCAACATTTGCCTTATAGAATTTGAAGATACGTTACTATATGTGTAAATATTTGGAATTGTTTTATCTTCCTAATGGGACTACACTTTTATCATTGTAAAATATTCTTCTTTATTTCTAAGATTACATTTTGTCTTAAACTCTAATTTGTCTATTATTAGTACATCTATATCACTTTTCCTTTTGGTTAGCATTTACATGGTATATATTTTTCCATTCTTTTACTTTTAATCCTTCTGTATTTTTATACACAAGGTATGTTCCCCATAAGCAGCATGTTGTGGATTTTGCCTTTTATTCAGTCTGTCAAGCTTAGTCTATTAATTGATGAATTTATCATAATTGTTGATATATTTATATTTGTCATCATTCTATTTCTTCTTTTTAGCACTGTTTTCCTCAGCTTTTATATTTCTTTTTTCCTCATTTCTTACCCCTTTTTGGTTAAACAATTATTTTTATTATTTTATTTTCCCCTGTACGTGTATTTTAAACATTTTTGTTGTTGTTATTGTTCTTTCGGAGGCTCTGGACAGATTACATTGGGCATTTTTCTCTTACTACAACTTAATATAAAATTAGTACTCATGCTTACCAATTCCCAGATCTTCAAACACTTGAGTCTTATTCCTTCTTCCACTTTGTGTTTTTGTTTTTATGCATTTTAATTCTATGTTTTAAATCTTAGGATACATAATTATTATAAAATCATCAGTTTATTTATATTTATTCAGTGATTGACTCCATTGCTCTTCCTTCATTTTCATGTTTATTTTATCTCCAGGATTATTTACTTTCTATGTTAGTATCTCTTTTAGTGGATAAATGTTGGCAATTTTAATTTAGCTAATTTTTGTTTGCATAGAAATTCTTTAATATGCCTTATCTTTTGAAGAATATTATTGGTACATTCAGAATTCTAGGTCAGTGGCTGGTTTTCTGTTTTGTGTGTGTGTGTGTGTGTGTTTGTGCTGTTTGTTTTAAAGGTCTATTTCCATTGAGTTCTAATTTCATCCATTTCTTTTGAGAAAATAGCTCTGTCTTATGGATATTCTTTTTCAGGTAATGTCTTCTTTTTCTCTAGAAGTTTTTCAGAATTTCTCTTTGTCCATGGTTTTAAACAATTTTATTATAATGTGCTGAAGTATTTTTTTTCTTAGTATTAATACTTTTCATGCTTGGAGTTATAAAGATTCTTCAATCTGTAGCAAGATTTCCTTCCTTTTACATTTTTAGGAAAGACTCAGCCATTGTTTCCTAAATATTGCTTTTGCCCTGGCATCACTTTCCTTCACCCTTAGAATTTCAATTCACGTCAGACTTTCTCACCATATCTTAGATGTCTCTTAACCTTTTTTGTGTATTTTCTATCTTTTTATCTTTCTGTGCTTCAGCCAGAACATTTCCACTGACCAGTATATTTATCTTATTTTCTGCTATGTGCAATGTAATTAAACTCATCTACTGAATTTTAAATATTTCATTTTTCAATAATTAAATTTTCACTTCTTTAATGAAATTCTTCACTTTACTTTCTTGAAACTATTGATTACAGCTACTTTAACTATATGTTTTATAACTCCAAAATCTAGATCATCCATGGTTTTTTCCTATTGTCTTTTTTCCCCCTCTTAGAACTAATTATGGGAATACCTATTAATTTTTGATGGATTGTTGGACATTTTATATGATAAAATACAGAGTACCCAGAGGTATTATCGTCCCCTAAATGAGCTTCCCTCTACCTCTGGTACACAAAGCGTGGGCATGTCATCTGCATCCAATTAGGGACTGAGCTGACTTAATTTGAGTTACAGTTTTTATAAAGTTTTATTTTCTCTGGTTCACTTCTACCCCTAGCCTGTAGCTGTCTGAGTGGTTTTACAAAGGCCCTCCTTTTAGTGGATTCTGAAGTGTAATTTTTGTCTTCTTGGCACTATGAAATGGTAAAAGTCTTTCAGTGGCGAAAGACGCCACTCTGACTTCCATGAGCATTCTGCTTACTTTTAAACTTTGCATTTAGGAATTTGGCAAATGCCTGAAGGACAAAACTGGCCGCTGGTCTTAATTTTCTATGCCTCTCTTTTCACCAGGATCTTGCCTTCGCCCCATATTCTGGCTGTATTCATGTTACCAGAAAGGGGTCCCAATCCAGACCCCAAGAGAGGGTTCTTGGACCTTGCAAGAAAGAATCTGGGGTAAGTCCACACAGTAAAGTTCTCAGAGGCATTTGAACCAGAGCAACTCTATCTTAAATAGGAGCTGGGTAAAATGAGGCTGAAACCTACTGGGCTGCATTCCCAGGCAGTTAAGGCATTCTAAGTCACAGGATGAGACAGGTCAGCACAAGATACAGGTCATAAAGACCTTGCAAATAAAATAGGTTGCAGTAAAGAAGCCAGCCCAAACCCAAAAAACCAAGATGGCCACGAGAGTGACCTCTGGTTGCCCTCACTGCCACGCTCCCACCAGCGCCATGACAGTTTCCAGACGCCATGGCAACATCAAGAAGTTATCCTATATGGTCTAAAAAGGGAAGACATAAATAATCCACCCCTTGTTTAGCATATCATCAAGAAATAACCATAAAAATGGGCAAACAGCAGCCCTCAGGGCTGCTCTATGGAGTAGCCATTCTTTTATTTCTTTACTTTCTTAATAAACTTGCTTTCACTTTACAGACTTGCCCTAGATTCTTTGTTGCGTGTGATCCAAGAACCCTCTCTTGGGGTCTGGATTGGGGCCCCTTCCCTGTAACAAAATGAAAGCAAGTTTATTCAGAAAGTTAAGAAACAAAAAATGACTACCCCGTAGGCAGAGCAGCGGCATGGGCTGCTGAACTGAGTCTACTTATAGTTATTTCTTGATTACATGCTAAACAAGTGGTGGATTATTCATGAGTTTTCTGGGAAAGGGGTGGGCAATTTCAAGAAATGAGGATTCCTCCCCTTTTTAGACTATATAGGGTAACTTCCCCACATTTCCATGGCATTTGTAAACTGTCATGGCACTGGTAGGTGTGTCTTTTAGCCTGCTAATACATTATAATTAGCATATAATGAGCAGCCAGGACGACCAGAAGTCACTTTCATTGCCATCTTGATTTTGGTGTGTTTTGGCCAGTTTCTTTACCACATCCTGTTTTATCAGCAAGGTCTTTGTGACCTGTGTCTTGTGCCAACCTCCTATCTCATCCTGTGGCTAAGAACACCTAACCTCCTGGGACTGCAGCTCAGTAGGTCTCAGTCTTGTTTTACCCAGCCCCTATTCAAGATGGAGTGCTCTGGTTCAAACACCTCTGACATTCATATCCCCAAACTTTAATTTTTGTCCCTCCCATTCCATGAAATTGCCAGACTCTGCTGGCTTCTCTCTCTCTTAGCTGCAAACATCTTCCTGGCTCTACACCAGGCTACTCAACTATTTGCTCAATACCAAGAATAGTCAAACGCCCTGAGGATAAAAAGCAGTTACAGATGTTATCTTCTTAAAGGTTTTCTTCTCTCTGAGCTCTTGTACCCTCAAATCCTAGTCGCTTCAGTAACTCTCTGATGCCTTCAAGCACTTTTTTTTGTATCCTATCCAGCTTTTTAATTGTTCTCAGTAGGAGTATCTGCCTTCTGCAGGCTATTCCATCATAGCTCCAGAGCCTTATTCTAAAGTAATTCTTCAGATACTCTACATGGGATGATTAGTTTTCTGCCATTTACCATTTTCACTGAAAAATATACTTATTATTTATTTTGTTACATATTTGACAACCACATATTTACCATTTTATAATTTATTTGTCCAATATCTTATCAATGAACTATTTTTTTAAACATTTTATGAAAATGTTCAACATAGAGAAAAACAGATATAGTACAATAAACACCCATGTGTTCATCATCTAGATTCAACACAGTTAGCATTTTTGTCATATTTCTCTTCTCCCTAAATTCTTCAGCATGCAATTCCTAAGAATAAAGATATTTTACCTTCATTATCACAATATGTTGGACAGTTCTGTCTAATGTTTTGGTGATTACAAAAAAATACTTTAAAGAATATCCATGTACTTATATTCTGGATAATTTATGTTTGTATATCCACAGTATATATTCTAAGTAGGGAGGTTGCTGGTTCAAAGTGTAGGTGCGTTTATAATTTTGATAAATAACTGGCAAATTGTTCTCCAGATAAGTTGCACCAATTTGCACTCCCAACAAACTGTATGGGAGCTCCTTTGAAGGGGAGAGATTTTGATGTCTCTCTTTGGGTGTCTCATCTGGTGATCTTGGCATCCTGTGATAAACCAAGTGTGTCAATTAGCACTTGAAAGTCACCATCTCTTATCAAAGGCACTCAGGGCTTCTTAAATCCAGGAATAATTTTCAAAACTTTAAGTGTCCTCTAAAAGAAGGCAAACACCAAGAAGACATGAATTCTAAAATTTCAACTCTGATTGTCTAACTATACCCAGATCATAAAAAGACCCAGGAAACTGTTCCTAGATGAAAGCGATTTCAGTTTCACAGAAGCATTATCAAAAAGGAAACAAAAGGAAAGAGGAACAGAGAGCCAACCAAATTTGTTTAGTGAGTTTTTTAAGGCGCTCATTCCAGTACTGTTTTAATCCTCTTTACATTTCCCCCTCATAGAGAACCAAATTAAATGTTTCATTTCACAAAGACAAGAAAAAATTATGATAACCTTGAAAATATTTATTTTAGATGAAAACAATGATTAATAAAGCTTAATTCAGATAAAATTAATTGATCCTCTGTTATGTTAAACAAACTGTTTTAAACACTGCTGAGCATGAAAACTGAAGTGAAACAACCTTTCCATGAGGTAGTTAAAGCCATTTAAGTGTTGCCAGAAGGCTGACAGAGGGAATCAGTGGAGCAGGCATGCTTTCTGAATATGACTAGTTGTGTGATGAATAATTAATTTCAGCAGCATCTTTGTATTATTTTTCAATTTTATGCAATGTTTTCAACCGTCATTGAACATGATGCTCTCATACAACTTTATAACATTAGCAACTATCATTTGTAAAGAATCTACAAAATTGCCAAAGGGTTTGCATGTTTGTTTTCAATTTAATCCTCGGATTATGCAGATAAGCAAACAAAGGCTCAGAAAAAAAAATATTTAAAGAGACTAATTTAAAAATAGCTAGGAATTTTTAAAGCTGAAATTAAACCCAGAGTATGCCATTTAAATTTAAATATTATCTAATTTAAATATTAATGAAAGCTTGTAATAGAAGATACAAGAAATCACAGACCTAATAGCTACATTGATTTTTAAGAGATAGTGAATATTAATATTTTATATACACATATATCTAAATATCTATAATTATTTGTCTTATGTCAAAATAATATTCATTTTATTTTTTTAACGTGTAGAAATCAAGTAGGCCAGAAAAATACAACTTCCAAGTATGTCACTACTAAGAAATAATCAGTGTTCACATATTGTCAAATGGCTTTCCAGAGTTATTTATATTGATGGGGATCACAGACTACCCCAAAGGATAGCACCTTGACATTTGAGAAAATAGCAGAAGCAGGAAGGTCTCTCTGACCTTCTCCCACCCTTCTCCCCTGAAGCAGCCCATAAAATAATTCACTGGCCTTCCTCTAAAATAGTTCATAAGACCCTCATTCCAGAGAGGTCCTGTCTGTACCCAGAGGAAAGGAATGTAGCACAGGCACACAGGAAAGAATCTGAACAAACAGGCCTTGCTAAGTCCCCCGGCCCCAATTTATTACCATTTACATCATACTCTTTTTTTTCCTCCAGTTATACTTCTGTGCAACTGTTCACAAAAATACAGTTTTTCCTGTTTTGGGGGGTCTTTGTTTCTCTTTTTCTTTTTTCTTTTTTTTGAGACAGGGTCTCACTCTGTCACCTAGGCTGGAGTGCAGTGGTGCAATCACGGCTCACAGCAGCTTCACCCTCCGAAGCTCAAGGAATCCTCCCACTTCAGCCTCCCAGGTAGCTGGGAGGACAGGTACACACCACCATGCCCAGCTAATTTTTTGTATGTTTTGTAGAGATTGAATTTCACCATGTTGCCCAGGCTGATCTCAAACTCCTGGGCTCAAGCAATCTTCCTGCCTCAGCTTCCCAAAGTTCTGTGATTACAGGCATGAGCCACTGTAATCATTACAGGCATGAGCCACTGGGTCTTCATTTCTAAAGACTCCTGTGTCACATAAAACTTATATAAAATAAATTTGTTTCCTTTTTGCTTGTTATCTGTTTTTTATCATAGGTCTTTCAGTCTTGAAAGAAAAGAAACCTTTTCTCCCCTGTGATAGGTATACATGAATTTTAGGGTGCTATGGTTTAAATGGGTCCCCCAAAGTTTATGTGTTAGAAATTTAATTCTCAATGCAATAGTGTTGAGAGGGGAACCTTTAAGAAGTGATTAAGTCATGACGGCTCTGCCCTTATGAATGAATTAATGCCACTATTGGAGGAGTTAGTTATCATGGGAGTGGCTTCTTGATAAAAGCAAGTTTGGTCCTCTCTTGCTTGCTCTCTCTTTCTCTCACTGTCACCCTTTCTCATCCTCTTGCCTTCTGCCATGGAATGATGCAGCAAGAAGGTCCTCGCCAGATGCTACAGCTTGATATTGAACTTCCCAGCCTCCAGAACAGTGAGAAACACATTTTCTTTTTTATAAATTACTCAGTCCCTGGCATTCTGTTATAGCAGCACAAAAAGGACTAAGACACAGAGTGACTAAATGTTTACTGTTGTAGCTTAATATTTTTATTTAGATATATATTGAGTGTGGTTTTCATATCAATAAATATTTCCTGCTTATAATTACTATGACAGTTTTTTCACCATTATAAAAATGACAAAGAACTTAAGAATTCCAGCAGTTTGGGTCAGGTGCCATGGCTCACACCTGTAATTCCAGCACTTTGGGAGGCCAAGGCAGACAGATCACTTGAGCCCAGGAGTTTGAGACCAGCCTGGGCATCATGGCAAAACCTTGTCTCTATGAAAAATACTTTCCTTTTTAAATAACAATAAATAAATATAAAAAAAGAAGTCACACAGTTTAAAGAATGAATAACCCTCATCAACAATTATAAAGTCTCGTAGATATACAGAAATACATACATTTCTTTTCCATACCAATGCAAGCATACAATATGCACTGTTCTGCATTTTCCTTTGTTCACTTAATAATGTGATATTGAAAATGTTCATTTCACTACCCATATACAGTATGCCATTGGATGGATACATTATAATTACTTTACTAGAATTCTACTGATAAAAATTAATTTTTAGTACCTTTTTAGTATTAGAAATATAAAAATATTCTTGCAAGAAATATAACTACTAGGAGCAGTAGTAATCATCATAATATTATTGTTGATGTTATTATTTCTATGTTCCAGTTACTATTCTAAGTGACTTACCTGTCAATATTTATTTTTTTTAATTTTTTTGAGATGGAGTCTGGCTCTGTCTCCCAGGCTGGAGTGCAGTGCAACTGCAACTTACTGCTTACCGCAACCTCCACCTCCCAGGTTCAAACAATTCTCCCACCTTAGCCTCCCAAGCAGCTGGGATTACAGGTAGGCACCACCACACCTGGCTAATTTTTGTATTTTTAGTAAAGACGGGGTTTTGTCATGTTGGCCAAGCTGGTCTCAAACTCCTGGCCTTATGTGATCCTCCTGCCTCAGCTTCCCAAAGTGCTGGGATTACAGGCATGAGCCACCACACCCAGCCACATGTCAATAATTCAATCCTCACATCAACTTTATGAAGTAGTCACTATTATTACCTCAGTTTTACCCAAATAAGGAAAATGACGCACATAGAAGTTAAAGAAATTACCCAAATTACACAGATGATAAATACATATGTATTTCCACATGTTAATAAATGCATAGGATAATTTCTAAGACATGTGAGTCAAATAGAAACACATCTTAAATTTTGAATGATATGGTCAAATTGTCCTTTAAATGAGGCTGTATTAATTATATACTCTCTTCAACAGAATATGAAATTTCTAGAATTCTTCCATTCACCAGTGTTGGGCATTATAAAACTTGGTAATATGCGACAGTTTAATAAGTGAACAAATCAAATTATTGTTTTGTTTACAGTACTTTCATTATGAATAATTCTAGCAATTTTTAATATAATTTTTAGCTATTTGTAGTCCTTCTGTGAACTGTCTATACTATAAATGTTCTTTGCTATTGAGTTGTGAACTTGTAGGATTGCCTAATATGCCAAAGAAAATAACCCTTTGACTATTATATATTTTGCAAATATGTTTTCCCAGTTTTGCTTTTTACTTCCCTTCCAAAATTTTTGCAACTACCCTGTTGAGGTACTAAATTTAATTTTTATGTACAGTCCACTGCCTCCAAAAAAGAAAATACTGCTTCACTTTTCTTTATTTATTCCCTTGCATCTGTCTTTATGCCTGCCAAACTTCCTCTCTCTCTGTGTCTTGTTCTCTGCCCCTCCCTGACTCCTTCCTTTCTTCGTTTTCTTTCTTTCTACTTTGATCTCAGTAGAAACAGTTGAGTTAATCATACTGCTTAGATTAAAGAATACTATTATCACATTTGCATGTTATATGCCCCAATTGTTGCATTTTATTGTACCCCTCCAACCCAGTCCCCACTACCTTTCCTGCCCTACTTTTTCCATCCCATAAAAAGAAGATGCTGGATGCATGACCTTGGTAAAGGCTCATCTGGAGGGAAATTTGATGATTTCTGTTTATCAATCTAATTGTAATCTCTCTTTATATATACATACATACAATTATGCATTTTGTCATTTTATCTTTTTTTATCGTTTAAACCATTTCTACTATCAAATAAGCTTCTTCTCCAGATTTCTTAGAAAACAATGAAATCTAAAAATTAAAAATTACTTTTCACATTAGGGATAAAGAAAAATATTTAAAGTATGAGGATAGTAATTTATACTGGATTGCAAAATAAAAATACAGTGTATTGAGATTAATTATTTAACATTTTATAATTCACCTTTTGTTATTTTAAATAAAACATTTTAATTTACATAAATGACATTGTGCTATAGGCCTTTTTCTATTTATTAATAGCTTCACACAACATTGTATTTTAAAATCTGTCCATATGGCTTTATATCCATGCATCCCATTTTTATTATTCATTATAATGAATGTGGGCACCTCTGTTGCTCATCTCAAACTGTGTCATGATAAGCATTCTCACCCTTGTCTGCCTATGACCTGAGTGAGTGGGAGCCTGGCTCATATGGAATACCCATTCTTCATTTCTCTAAGTACTGCCAGATTGCTCTCTCAAAAGACAGTATGAATTTACACTTTCAATAGCTGTAACATGTTTTTTCTCTATATCTTGGTCAACACCAGAAATTATTCAACATTCCAATCTTTGCCAATATTGGGTATAAAATTAGATTTCTTTTGAATTACATTTATCTGCTTATAACTAAGAGTGAGAATCTTCTCAGTTTCTGTTAACTGTTCAAGTTCCTCATCTTTTCAAAGTCTAATAGTTGTAGTAGTTGGCAGTTAATGATGAAGTGACTAGCAACTCAAGTTAAATATCTCAGGGTAAGCTTCTGAATCCAAGTTATGGTGTCTCAACTATATTTAAATTAGCAGCTCATTGTCTGTCTTCCTAGCTAGGACTGATATTCATTCAGATGCACTAATCTAACTGTATGGGTTTTTCACCTTGCTGTTCACTCTGATTGATCAGATACTACTTTTAATTATGCAATATCTATATCAAATGAGCTGTTGATTATTTTTAATATTATCCTTGTTTCTAGCACCTAAAATGAAACAAAACTCTTCTCATACCTTCCTTCTATCTCCCATAAAAACACTTTAATAGCAATGTAACAAAATTATCTTAAACATTTGCATCTATGCCTATAAATTTGAAAATCAGCAAGGCAGAGAAATGGAATTTGTGAGGAAATGGATTTGAAAGCTACAAAATAATTGCTCCTAAAATCAATAAGTGGGTGGCACTGTAAAATGGTTCAAACATTTGGAAAGAATTATAAAAATTCAAGTGATGGTTTCTTTGATCCAGCAATTGACTCCTAATTTGCTACCTGAAACAACTGCAAAGAAGAAAATTGGCTTCACCCAAAGATATTCACTGCAGTCACTCTATCTGGAGAGAAGAAAGTTATATTTAAAAAGAAGGTTAATTTGATACTAGTTAAAACTAGATGCACCTGAGTAAAGCCCAAACATGGAATTTGTCATTTTATTTTTAATTTTAATTTTATGTTACTATTTTTGTTATTTTAATTGTAAGTAAAGATTGAAAAAAGATAATCATTGAAAAGACATAATGTTTACTCTTAAGACATAATAAATGTAAAACTATCTTAATGCTATTAAGCAAGTCTTAAGGGATAAATAGGGGATAAATAGATGGAGCATGTTTGAACAAGGCAGAGGTGAACGATGAGAGAAATGATAGAGCTCAGAAACTCTAACATGAAAATTCAGATTTTTAAGGAGAGCAATTTTGGTTTTATATATTATATGGATCTTCAAGAACTGATCTAAAATGAAATGTGTGTTGAGCATTCTATTAAGAATCAGCACAGTGTCAAGAAATGCTATCTGCATCCATAATTGTAAGACTCAAATTAAAATATCGACCCAACTTTGCCTCCTCAACATCTGAACAACGACTTGCTTGTTAAGCCTTATTTTCTCTAAGATTGCTGAGTTGCGATAAAGAGGAAGCATTCACAAAAGCAGGTAAAGATTTCTCTTTTAGCGTGTGTGACCCCAATCCATCTTTTGAGTGAATTCTCAGTTTGTGTGAGAACATAACCCTGCTCTTACATAAATCCATATCTGAATGATGAAAGATAATGGATTAACTCTCTTCAGGTTTCATGATTGGAATAGCATGCTTATCTGTTTAAATAGGAACCCCTGAATGTCGACTAAAAATGTTGATATGTTCATACATTGCAACTATATATCTTCCATGAAGAGAGTTCTATAGCTGCTGGACTAGGACTATGAAGATGAAAATGGTATTGTCTGTATACTGATGATTCCTAAATATTAATTCCCAATTTAAAATTCTCTATCTCTGGAACTCAAGTCATACAAATCAATTACCACCTGAGCCACTTCCAGCCAGGTGTCTTAAAAACACCTGAAAAAAAATGGGTTCTATACTGAATACATCACTTTACTGTGCAAATATGCTCTCCAAAATCTCTGTCCCACTGAGTGACACCACTGTCTCTACCTTGCCTCCCAAGCCAAGTGATTCTTGGTTTCTCACTCTCCCTCACTTCTCACAATAAAACTCTCACCAAATCCTGTTATGTCATCTATGTATCAGTATAATCCATCCAGTTCTCATCTGGAGACTTACCCATACTTGGTAATTTTAAATGGGACTTACCATACTTGGTAATAATTGAATTTTTATATATTAATTTGCTTAAATCGTTGAACAATAAGCTCTTTGTAGTTGTTGTTTTGCATATAATTGTGTTCCCAGAATCTAGCCCAGTGTCTAGCATATAGTAAACATCACATTAACATTTGAAAATCACTGAAACTTTCAAGTGATGAAACTTGAAAATAAATCAAAATGCACAGAAGATAAAATTCTACTAAAAGGTAAAATATTTTCAAAAGCTGAAGATACAGATGAATATAAAGAGTCCATTTGTTTTATCTGACCTTTTAAATAAAATATGTATTCACTCCTTTTTGTGCTGAAAACTGTGTTGTATATGCCTGTAAAATGTGTTTCTTTATAACAACTCTATAAGTTCCTTACACGTCAAGTACTAAAGATTGAAAAAGATCAGGTACCTCACAAATAACGGTATCTCCAATATTATCATACTTGTTTTTCACTAAACCCTTGGGAAATAAATGGGGATTTTAAAAATATTATTATTTTACAAATAAGAAATAAAGACTTAGAGAAAATAAAAAATCAAATGCAAGTTTCCTTGATTTTTATTCAAAGTTATTAATATTATGACATTTATAAAACAGATTGTCAAAGGGCTGGCTAATGCCAGCCAAACCTACCTAGAAGATGATGGAGAGAGAAAAACACTTCTTGTTTCATTTTAAGAATGAATCCATGAGTCATAGCCATAACTGCATTTTCCAAACTACACCTCTAGATGATTTACCTGGTAATATATCCAGAAAATTTGCCTTGTTATATTAAAAATTGTGATTAGAATTGACTTCTTAGTATTAAAGTGATAAATTAAAATAAAAAATTAAATGGGCATATCTGAATTTTTGCATTACTCCACATAGCACAAAATCATACGAGGGGATGTTATTTTGGGTAGAAAAATTCTATACAAAAAAAGGGATTTTATCACTGTATTAGTCCATTCTCATGCTGCGATAAAGAAATGCCCAAGACTGGGTAATTTATAAAGAAAAGAGGTTTAATTGACTCACAGTTCAGCACGGCTGGGGAGGCCTCAGAAAACTTACAATCATGGCGGAATACAAAGCAGAGGCAGGCACTTTGTTCACAAGGCAGCAGGAGAGTGAGTGTTAGCCGGGGAAATGCCAGATGCTTATAAAATCATCAGATCTCATGAAAACTCATTCACTATCACATGAACAGCATGGGGGAAAACATGATTCAATTCCCTCCACTTGGTCTCTCCCTTGAGACATGGAGATTATGAGAATTATAATTCAAGATGAGATCTGGATAGGGACACAAAGCCTAACCATATCAATCACCAAAACACAAAGATATTTGAGTTTTGGTTTGCATCTATTCCTTACTGGAAACTTGTACTAGCAGTTTTAGTTCAATCTATTGGAAATTTGGTAAAAAGTCAAGAAAAACACAGTACATTGTTCCTGACTGTAAATTCTGAATTTACAAAATGGGTCAGCAACGCTGACATGCATATTCATTGGTTTTTGTAGCAAAGTGATTTAGCAAACAGTTTTAGAAACCAAAATTTTGGATTCTAGTTCTATCTCCATAATGAGCTATTTTAGTGTACCTAAACAAGTTACATACATTGCCTAAACCTCAGTTTTATATTTTGTAGGTTTCCTATGATTATTTCAAATACTATGCATCATACAGCTGACAAAGTGCCTGGCATATAAGATTTATTAATACATTTATCAGCAGTTATTAAGAGCAGAATTATAAACTGTCAAAGGTAAGAGGGCCTTAATAACCACACACTCTACCCCTGCATTTTATCAGTTTGTAAACTGATTCCTAGAGAGTAGGAAACAGGTGATCCAAAGTCACAGAGGTAGGCTTTCAGTACAGCAGTGAGTTTTAAGCTTTGCAGTGCATCAGAATTACCTGGAGGGCTAATTGAACCACTGGTTGCTGGGCCAAAGATTTTTGCAGTTCTAACAAGTTCCCAGGTGTTGCCAGTTCTGCTAGTCCAGGGACCACACTGCAGTGATCTTTCCACTACACTCCACTAACCTACTTCAGATACCTGTGGTAATCAGGGTGGATTGATGTCCACACCACTCAGCCTAGGCTTTGTGTTTCATGAGTCAGAGTTGGAAAAAAATTTTTAAATGTAAACTAGTTTTATTACATGTTAACACATTACATTCATCAGCCTAAAGATTAATAAATTAAGTCTATGTAGCTTCCTTAAGGTCTTACACATGGGAAGGGACAGAGCATGACTTCAACACCTGCCTGTGTGACATCACAGCCTACGGCCTTACTCCTGTTTCAAATCTGGCATTCTTTCCAATATCCTGCACTGAGTAAAACCCTACTCCTCAATGGGCAGTATTAACAAGCATCAAATTGGTAGTAGGGATAGAGGTGAAGATTATGCATTTAAATGACACCTGCCTTTGGGAAGTCAGAATCCACTGGGGAGACAGACATGCCCTCAATAGAAACCAAAGCACACAATGGTTCAAGGCTGCACCATAGGAAGTATTAAGCAAGGGCAGGTGGTAGAGGGAAGAACAGTAGAGCTTAGGTGGGGCTCAGAGGTAGAATAATATATTTGGAGGCAGTCCAGCTACAGGAAGGCATCACAAAGAGCCCTGAGTTGAACCTCAGCCCCAACACCTTCCATGGGGTCACCTGGAGCAATGCATATTGTCTTTCTGTATCTTTTTTTCTCTTCTATAAATGTGGGATTATGATAGTGTCTGCCCCACAAGGCAAGTACCAGGCTGTAAGCCCTATTGAGACAGCCAGGTAGGAGAGTGTCACTGGAAAAACTACAACAGGCCTGCGCACTTAGGTGGAGCCTCAGGACGTTTCCCATTTGCAGCGGGGAGGATGCTGGCCCATCCTCTTCCTGTGTGGAACCTGAGATTCAAGCTGTGGGTGGGAAGCCCTCTAGCAGGGACTCAGGCCTAGTGAGAGTCCCTGTCTCCCCCTTTTCTTCCTTTTCACCCAATGAAACACTGCTTTACTCACCCTTCAAATAGAGAGCAAGCCTAAATTTTCATGGCCGTGGGACGGACAAGGACCCCATCTTTAGCTGATAACTTTAGAGATTGTAACATTGGAATAAAGGAAAATGTATGGGACTCATAAAGAGCTGAAATGTTCATTAATACCAAGCAAAACAAGAGTTAATTAAATGGACTGAACTCAGAAAGCTGAAGCAAATCTTTTTGACTTCTGCTTAAAATATTACTGATCCTTGTTTTGTTTTTCAAAGTCAAAGAAACTTATTTTAAGCTATTTACAGCCTTCGATAATTGAGTAAGGTATACTCCTATGAACAAAATTTAGAGCATGTTTGTTTCTCTCTGCCTGTTTCCTCTAGAATTTGGAAACTATCTGTGAGTATTCTTATGGCAATACAGTTGTTTGCATCAGTGCAATAAGAATTCATTTTTCTTTTGCAACAGAACACAATTGGAGAAAGTGGTTATTTTACCAAGGCTTTGACTGGAAGGGTATGTGTCCCTTTAAGGAGTCAATCTCAACTTGCAGAGCCAATAAAAGCCCAGTGGGGAAAGTGGCCTCATACCCTTGCCTATACAGTCCCTGTACAGGGTTCCTGACCCGTGATCAGCAAAGAATGTCACTTTCTAACAGGTCTAGGAGCTCCAAGTTTATCTTGGGACCTTAAGAGGAGAGAATCACCCAACTCACAGGTGTTTGAGGATACAAACCCATGGGTGGGCTCAGCTTTAAAAGGTCTTATCTGAGATTCCTTGTGGAACAAACTTCCATCAAAGCCAATCCAAAAGTCCTATGTAGAAATAATTATTCTTGCTGTACTTTATGCAAATAATCAAGCCAAGTATAAGACTAAAGTATATTTTGCAAACGACTCGGTCCTATTAAGACTTGGGTTTTTTTTTTTTTTTTTAGCAAAAATGAGGACTAGAGAGAGAAAAATTATGTTTCAAAACCTATGAATTTGTCATTAAATTCTAAACTCACTAGTTTTTAAGTTGTTACCTACATTTTAGACTAACCCTGCTTGTTCCTGTGAACCAACCAGAAATCTCCAGCTGCAGCTCAGAAAGAACAAAAGGGGTGGGTAATGTAAAAATCTGGATCAGTATTCCTGCAAATCTTGCCAGGTGATAGGAATAAATAAATAAACTCAGAGATTTCTTTTTGGGAAAGTAAGACCAAGGGGACGAACCAGAGCCAAGCACCTTGCACCCAAATCCTAGCAAGCATAACTATAGCTACCAGTTATCTGGGTGCGTCACAAGACATGCTTTCCTCTCTTTTTTTGGAGGAGGACTCAGGTCCACAGTTTCACTTTAGCATTTGGCTTATGATAAGGAGTGAATGCAACCCCCTGAGATACATTTTTATCCCAGACTCAATTCCAAGCTTTAGGTCAAAGCCCTAGGAAAGAAAACTGGATCTGAGGAATCCAGAGGCAAATGGTAACAGAGGTTAAAAGACACAGCACAGGTGAGTGTGGCTGATTGCTGCCGATTAAGCCAATCCCATCGTTCCTGCTTCATGGATAAAGGCCGCGTTAGTATCCACGGCATAAATGAGGTCTAGATAACTCCAAGGCTACTGACAGCAGCGGGGAAAGAGGCATAGGTCAGAGCAGATAATTCCTATTCTCTAGGCCCTCCCCACTTCATGGGTGCAGGCCGCCTTTACACCCGTGGCGGCGCCTGCCAAAGTCACCAGAACTCAGGGATGCAAGGATGGAAGAAGGAAAAAGGACGCTCTTTCCCTCTCCCTTACATACTCTGGGTATCTGCTAGGAATAGAAAGGAACTGGGGATGCCTGCTCCCATCTTTCTAGATGGGCAGCCATTAATCTTCAGTCTGTACCCCTTTTGAATGCAGCATAAACCTCTGGGACTCCTTTGAAAAAGAATGCCTTCTATTTTCTTCCCTCCTTCTCAGTTCTCTCTTCACTAATAGGTAATTGTGTCTCCATAATATGGGACACTCTCCTCAGATGCATCCTCCAAACTGGAAAGAGTTGATTTCCCAAAGTTTTTTTGTTTTGTTGTTTTTTTTTTGAGATACGGTCTCACTCTGTCGCCCAGGCTGGAGTGCAGTGGCACGATCTCAGCTCACTGCAACCTCTGCCTCCCAGGTTCAAGCAATTCTCCTGCCTCAGCCTCCTGAGTAGCTGGGATTACAGGCACGCGCCACCATGCCTGGCTAATTTTTGTATTTTTAGTAGAGATGGGGTTTCACCATGTTTGTCAGGCTGGTCTCGAACCCCTGACCTCATGATCCGCCTGCCTCAGCCTCCCAAAGTGCTGGGATTACAGGCTTGAGCCACCGGACCTGGCCAGTTTCCCAAATCTTAAACTTACTGGTTTAGGATTGGGCTCAGGGGAAGGGAACCCAGAAGCGCAACATGCCGGCAAAAGAGTAAAGTTTCTTTGCCAAAGTTTTGGCCTCCCTCTCCCTGTGCAAACTGGTAAAAGGCCTCAGAATTTTTTATCTGTCCTTACCTCCCCTTTGTTTCATTTTGATACATGTTTTCTGATAACCCGGTTTGTCTGTTCTTGCCTTCAGGCCATCAAACTCCAAACGGTAATACAACCAGAGCCTTGGGCGATGGCCCCTTTGGCTGGGGACTCTTAACTAGGCCTCTGAGGGATCTCTGACTGCTTTTTTCCCCCAAAACAGTGCCCCCTGTCAACAGGAAGCAGTTAAGATCTTTCTTCCTCCTTATTCTTAATCTAACAGCAGTTAGATGTACTTCTTTACAGGAATGAATGAGACAGCCAGGTTGGCGGTGGGGGCCAGGTGTTGAGGGGGGGCCCTAAAAAACTCCAACTGGACTGCGCACTTGGGTGGAGCCTCAGGACATTCGCTGTTTGCAGTGGGGAGGAGCCTGCCCCCTCCTCTTCCTGTGTGGAACCTGAAATTCAAGCTGCAGGCAGGAAGTGCTCTAGCAGGTACTCTGGCCTAGCGAGAGTCCCCGTTTCCCCCTTTTCTTCCTTTCCACCCAACAAAACCCTGCTTTACTCACCCTTCAAACCATCTGTGAGCCTACATTTTCATGGTTGTGGGACGGACAGGGACCCCGTCTTTCGCTGAACTAAGGAAAAGTCCTGCAACACTGTAAAAGATACAACTAGATTTTTGTTTTTATATTTTCCTTCCTTTTTTTCCTCACCAGTGGTTCACCAGGACCTGGCAAAGTATAAGCCATATTGTAGACATTCTATAAACATTTATTAAATAAGCTAATGAGAACAGATATGGAAATTAAATTAGATAATAGATGCAATGAGTTAGAACAGGACCTCGTTCTTAGTAAGACCCTCAATGGATGCTACTTATTGTTATCATTTTTATTAGATGGTAGAAATGAGTATTGTAAAATCAAAAGATATCTGAGACACGTCTCAATTAATTAAAAAGCTTATTTTTCCAAGGTTAAGGACATGACTGTGACACAGCCTCTGGAGGTCCTGACAACATGTGCCCAAGGTGGGCACATGTTGCCCAAGGGCTAAGACTTGGTTTTAGACATTTTAGGGAAACATAAGACATAAATCAGTACATATAAGATGTACATTGGTTCAGTCTGGAAAGACAGGACAACTGGAAGCAGGGGCTTCTAGGTGATAAGTGTATCCAAAGATTTATAGGTGCATTCAAAGATTTTCTGATTGGCAATTGGTTGAAATATTATCCAAAGACTCAGAATCAATAGAAAGGAAAGATCTGGGTTACAATAAGGGCTTGTGGAATCCAAGGCTCATATCATGCAGATGAAGCCTCCAGGTAGCAGGCTGCAGAGAGAATAGATTATAAATGTTTCTTATCAGACTTAAAGGGTCTGTTCCATCAGTCTTAATGTCTGTGTTGATGTTAATGGTTTTCAGGCACATCCCATTCCCCCTTCCCATTATGGTCTGAACTAGTTTTTCAGGTTAACTTTGGAATGTCCTTGGCCAAAAGGAGGGGTCCATTCCAATAGTTGGGAGCTTAGTGTTTTATTTTTGGTTCACAGTATCAAAGAATGAAAAACTTAATAAGTAAAGATATGAGGACCTAAAGTTATGTCAACACAACTGTTTCTGAATTGGTTACATGATTAAAAATAGCATTTTCTTTCTTAAAAGATCACTTGCTTAATACATCAGTACTAACATAACAAAGTCTAAATCCTCACTACTGTGTTTGATACTTACATACACAACTGCATAAGTACGCTAAATTACTAAGTACGCTAAATTACTAAGTACAACTGCATAAGTATGCTAAATTACTAAACTACTAAGTAATATCCTTTGTTTTTATTCCTATTGTTATTTATCAATCTTCTTTGTTCACTCTGAGAAAGGAATTACTGCATAATCACCATGGTATGGCCAGCCTCATGTCTATAAAACTCTTTCTCTACTACAATGCTGGGGTCTTCCTTTATGCAGTGGGCAGAAATAACCTCTCAGATGGTTACAAATTTGGAGGCTTGTCCAGAATTGCCCTTGTGGCTCCCTGGCTGCAGTTCAGTAGCCCCCCACCAGCAAAGAATCTAGAGGCCAGCCCAAGTGGCTGCCTAGACTGGAGACTGACTCTGGCACCATCTCTACCTGTGGGGCATTGCCCACCCATGATGCATGGATTTAATTGCAGGAGAGAAATCGTTCCTAGAAAGAGGTTTTTAAACTGGTCTGGTGGGTATTCTAGGTGCTGCCAACATCTCCTTCCTTCTCCTGATTGGTTCAGCTCCTTAGGGGTCTTGGTTCAGCTTCTTTGGAGGTCTTGGTTGGCTCTACCTGAATAGTAGGAATAGTCTTGGTTCAGGAGATTTTTCCTCAATTGAGAAGTTTTGGGGAGATTGCTCACATGGAGAACAGGAGTTTAGTTTGAAGGAATACTCATGAAATTCTTGTTTAGGGATCTTGGTTTGGAAGACCTCCTGTCTGTCTTACCTTTGTGTGTGTGTCTGTACATGTGGAGGGGATCTCTAAAGAAATTGGTGATGAAGGTCAGCAGGCCTAAATCAAAGAACCCTCTTTAAGTCTGTTCACATTCAATGAACCCTGAAGGAATTGTTAATGGAAGCACAACAGGCCTGACTCGAGGTGACCATTTGCTCCTTCATCTTGTCCATAGTCCTGCATTTCTGGTTGGAAGTTATCCCTCCCCTCTTTGAGGGGATCAAAGAAAATAGGGACTCATGGGGGCAAGTTTGAACCCTGCTAGGTTAATATTGGGTACTAAGCAAGGTGACTAGTGTCTGTTTTGTTACAGTATTTTATGTCAGCTGGGATGGAAAATGTTAACTTGGTTCCCCCATGCAGCCCGTTTGGTAACATCTTGTAAAATCGAGAGGGTTTTGCCTATCGTTCCATGAAACAGAAAAAAAGTAATTTTCCTTTACAACTACGGTGCAGCCAGCAGGGTCACTAAGGCCACTCAGGAAAGGGAACCCAGAAACCTGGCATGCTGGCAAAGGGTAAGAATTTCTTACCAGTCAGGCTTCTATCCTCTCGCTCTTTCTGTGCAAACTGGTTGAGTGAATGTTAAGAAATCACTGTTTACTAATGAGAAAAAGGATTTATGAGGCTAGTCTGAGGCTGTAGTGAATCTGATGTACCTTGTGCTATGAATTTGTCTTTCTATGCTGTTCTGTCACAAAGAACGGTACCACAGGATAGAACATGGGCTTAGGACCCATATAAGCCCACTGTTCAAGCCAGCCTATCAGACTGGTCAATTACAAACTTTGCTGTGGGTCCCGGAAACAAAAACCAAACGTGGTCTCCCTCTTGTTTTACATCCTTGAGAGCGTGACTTTGTGACCATGTGAGGGTACTCTCTCTTGAGCTCCACCATCCAGAGCGCAGGAATTTTCGAGGCCATGTCAGGACCGGGAGTCAGAGATGAGTGAGCACACTCTTCATCATGAATGTGTTGAGCCCTTGGGTGAATTTTGTCTGAAAAGGTCCCATCCCTATAGGGCTCTTGTCATCTCTTGCTATCTTTTTTTATTTTCTCTCTTTTTTTTTTTTTTGGAGACAGAGTCTTTTTCTATCACCCAGGCTGGAGTGCAATGGCGTGATCTCAGGTCACTGCAACATCCACCTCCCAGCTTCAAATGATTCTCCTGCCTTAGCCTCCCAAGTAGTTGGGATTACAGGCACCCACCACCACACCCAGCTAATTTTTGTATTTTTAGTAAAGACGAGGTTTTGCCATGCTGGTCAGGCTAGTCTCGAACTCCTTACCTCAGGTAATCCGCCCACCTCAGCCTTCCAAAGTGCTGGGATTACAGGCCTGAGCCACCACGCCTGGCATCTCTTGTTATCTTAAGCCCATTTTTGAGAATAAATTCTTGGGGATCATGGAGATGCCTTTTCTACCCCCTTTCTCGAAATACCTTTTGTTTATATCGTAAAAAACCTGGAAAGATCTCAAAAGGCCAATCTACAATAGTGGTGTTACTTGCAGGAGTAGTTGGTAAAATTGCATATCTTAAAACCTCTGGAATAATGGCTGACAATCATTTATGTCTGCACCTTGGCAGAACTCAGGCTCTGTTTCACCTCCCAGCTTGCTGACCTCCCATTAGCATTACAAAAGCAGTTGAGTTTTGGGCAAGACCTATTATGGTTTACACTGTAGCCTAAACATCTTGCAAAGTTAGTTCAGCCCAATAACCCAGGAAAAATTAAGGGAAAGGCAACATGGGGGGTGGGTTAGCTTAGCTTACTATAACAATTTTTCTTACTGATACGATTTTTGCAAAGGCGGTTTCAGTTGCACTGAGAGACTTATACACTTTAATCTTTGTGCTGAAGAAACAGTTTCATTATCATTGATTTAGTAGTAAAGGTAAAAGTTTAGCTATGCTCCCTTTTCCTGTTTTTGTTGTCCTTCAAGAGTTGTTTGGTTTGGTGTGGAGTAGCAGTTCTTTAGGTTTGCTTTTTTTATTTTTCATTTACAAGTTTAAACTCTTCGACTGTAGAGTAAACTTCAGAATATGTATATATTTCTTCTTACAAAGAAAAGGATTTCTTAGATAACTTGAACTGTAGACAAAAGAAAGAACACCAAATTCAAGCAAAGATTTTTTTGTGTGTTAAAACTTCCATGTGATATTTAATGTGCCTTATCTTCTTACTTTATTTTACAGGCTTAAAAATCATGAGGGAAATCAAACTTTATCTTTTAACGGGTAAATGCCAAAGGAAGTCCTTTATTAGTTGGTGCTAAGACTTCGGATGTATTTTTTTTTTTTTTTGCGGTGGTGGTGGGGGGGAAATAAGTAGAAAGATAATTTAGCTAGAGCTTATAAAAGAAGTTAGTATTTTAGTTTCCAATGAGCTCATTATTTTGCATTTTCTCCATTGCCATGGAATTCATATTTAACTGTAGCAAGTAACCAGAGGTGTCACTGCAAAATAAGCCATGTGGTTCAATAACAAATCTTTGTTTATTCTAAAATAAACATTTTTTGTTGTTGTTTATCTCATTCATTATTGTTACTTCTGTCAGAGGTGTTTGAACCAGAGCAACTCCATCTTAAATAGGGGCTGGGTAAAATGAGGCTGAGACCTACTGAGGCAGGAAACTAGGGTCTGGATGCAGGGAACATAAGGCCAATTCACGCTTCAGCTATGACAGGAAATACCCTCTCCATAGGGCTTACGTGGAGTAAATGACTTCGTAACTTTACTTCATCCTCTCCCTTCATATAGGGCGTATTCCAAGTAACCAATGGAATCCTCTAGAGGGTATTTAAACTCCCAAAAATTCTGTAATGGGGTCCTTGAGCCCCTATGCTCGGGCCCACTCCCACACTGTAGAGTGTACTATCATTTTCAATAAATCCTTTATTCCTTCCTTGCTTTGTGTGTTTTGCCCAATTCTTTGTTCAAGATGCCAAAAACCTGGACACCCTCCACTGGTAACACTACTGGGCTGCATTCCCAGAGAGTTGAGACATTCTAAGTCACAGGATACAATAGGAAGGAGTCTGGCATAAGTTGCAGGTCATAAAGACCTTGCTGATAAACAAGTTGCAGTAAAGAAGCCGGCCAAAACCCATCAAAATCAAGATGGTGACAAGAGTGACCTCTAGTCGTTGTCACTGCTACACTCCCACCAGCACCATGACAGTTTACAAATGCTATGGCAACCTCAGGAAGTTGCCCTATATGGTCTAAAAAGAGGAGGCATGAATAATCCACCCCTTGTTTAGCATATCATCAAGAAATAACATAAAAATGCGCAACCAGCAGCCCTCAGGGCTGCTCTGTCTATGGAGTAGCCATTCTTTAATCCTTTACTTTCCTAATAAACTTGCTTTCATTTGACTCTATAAACTAGCCCTGAATTCTTTATTGCGCAAGATCCAAGAACCCTCTCTTGGGGTCTGGATCAGGACCCCTTTTCTGTAACACTTCTACTTAGTAACAAAATTTGTCTTGTGTACTTCAGCACAGGACTCAAAGTATCTCCCTGTGGTTCTATGAGAAAGGAACTGTTGGTATGGAAAAATAATTTGCCCTTCCACCCTTCATAGGTTCTTAGCTGGGACTTCCTGTAACAAAAGACAAATTAACAAGAGAACATCAAACAGAAGTTTAATAACATGCATGCCTCCTGCATACATGGCAGATAACACAGAAAAAATTACTAAATCACTACAGTAGATTTTCAAAGAGATTTCTTAGACTTTAGGTTCAAATATCCATTGTTCTTTGAAACAAAGAAAGAAAGGAGTGGGGAAAGGCCTATCTAAGCGTAAAACAAGAGTAAGATGTACTATGCAGATTTAACTGTGATGCCTTCTCTACTGACTAAGAGTCTTTAGTGAATTAGCCTTCTCTTTCTGGGACAGAGAGGGAGAGTTGAAAATTATTATTTTTATTATAAACCTATAAATTTCTCTTTTACTTCTACAAAAGTAGTATGTCAAAAGGTTTTTTAAAGTTTCTAAGCTCCTTGAATATGGTTGCTGATCATGATTCCTTGCAATTTGAAAAATTCTCAATAAACATTTGTGGAATTGTTTTGAATACAATTGATTGGCATAATGACATACTACTGTCTACAGTTAGCACTAAGAACAAATTAATGTAGTTTACATCACTCCAAAAACGATCCTTACAAAGACTTGAGTGAGTATGTCATGGCATCACAGAATATGAGTTTGGGAATAACTTAAATTTCTAGAATTCCTCCATATTCACCTTCTTATAAAAGTCACAGAGTAAATGTTGCTGACACTGAATATTTCAGGTACATAATTTCTCTTCCTCCTCCTGTTGATGTTCCTCCCACAAACATGATTTAGTCTTTGGCCTCAATCTTGGTAACATGTTCTATAGTGGCATCTCACATTTTTTGGGAATTAGAAATAGCAGTTGATTTCTTAAAGATTGACATTCCTGTCATGCAACTGGTTATAAAATTTGTTCAAAGAAAAACTTGAGCTGAATTAAATTTAAAGGAGTTTAATTAAGCAATGAACTATTCGCAAATCGGGCAGCCTCTCAAGCCAGAGTAGGCTCTGAGAATCCAGCGCAGCCACGTGGCAGAAGAAGATTTATAAATAGAAACAGAAAATGACATACAAAAAATGGAAGTGAGGTACAAAAACAACTGGATTCGTTACAGCTTGATATTTGCCTTATTTGAACATAGTTCAAATAGTTGGCTACATTTGCTTGGCCAAAATCTGTTGATTGGCACAAGTGTAGGCTATGGTCTTTTTACACCTGCACTTGTTATAGTTCACAATGTAACAAACTTAAAATATTTCAGGTCAAACTTTAAATATGTAAGGAGGCAGCTTTAGGCTAAATTTGATTTAACAAATTCATAAAGAGAGGAGGAACACTCTTATCCTACATTTATTTGAAATTTAAGATAGTTCTTTTTATTTAAACACAAATATTTTCATTATATTATATTTGTGCCAGTTATTAAGTAACTGTCACAGCTCCACACCAACTTTACCTAGCTCTGTAATGCTGGAGCTGAAACTCTGCAAACTGTATTCTTGCATTGCCAGCTGTATCTGTTAGGCTCTGCCAGAAGAGGACAGTAGAGGGAAGCTAGCTGGAGGAGAGGGAGATTTGCTCTTTCCTGTTTGTTTCTGGACAGCCTAGCATTAGAATGACCAACAACCACATCTTTCTTTTTTTATCCTGGCAGCAGCAATGGCAGCAGCTCTATTCAGTTTGCAATTTTTTCATCACTTACAAAACCAGCCTCACGCTCCCCTGACCTTACAGACACCAGGCAGGCCAGCCTGTGCTCTGCCATGAGGGGTCTGAGTTTCAGCTTTGCAGGGCTCCTCTTTTAGGTTATTGTTTTAATAATTCATTTATTTCCTTTGCTGCCCCAGCCCTGGGAATGACAGTTGTTTCCTACAATTGCTACTACCCTGATATCTTAAATTTGGCTTTTTACCGTTTCAGTTTCCTGCTAAACACCTTTGTATTGACTAAGATTCTTTTCTTGGCCAAACCTTAGTCAAACTCCCCTGAATCTTCTCTTCTACAGGCCTGTTCATGTACTTTCTTTGTGGAGTCCAGTTTTAGCATGAATCCTGCTAGGTCAGCTTAGCAGAACTCCCAACCCTATGATACAGACAGGAGACAGGGAAATACTGGGTAGAGGAGGGTGGTTCTCCAGCAAAGGCCCCACCCTCACACCTGGATACCCATGGCCCTAAATTCCTGTTTTCGCACCCAGAACTTGCCTTTTGGCCTGCCAAACCCCCTATCCTGTACCCATGTAAAACCCAGACCCCAGGCTTCAGGGACAGACAAGGAGACAAGCAGACAAGCAGATGAATGTCAGAACGGTGTGGAAGAGAATGAGAGAAGGAGCGTCTGAACATCAGGAGGAGTTCGGCTGGGGACGGTTGGAGAATCAGCCACTGGAAAGCCAAACTCCAGAGGAAGATCATTTTCCCACTCCATCCATGTCCAACTCTGCTTCCATCCCACTGAGAGCCACCTCCACCATCCAATAAATCCCCGCATTCACCATCCTTCAGGTCCATGTGTGACCCAATTCTTCTGGGATGCTGAACAAGAGCTCGGGATACAGAAAGCTGTCACACTGGCCCTCTGCCCTTGCAAAAAGGCAGAGGGTCCACTGGGCTGGTTAACACTTAAATCATCCATGATGGCAACGCTAATCTTTTAGCACACTGTAACGCATGCCCATTTGAGCTCTTGCACCTGTCCGTCTGCATGCTCCCACTCCCGTAGGGGTTTGAGCAGCAGTGGCGACTAAATAGATGAGCCGCACCCCTGTTGCACGTTCTGTGAGGGGGCTCAGGGAACTCTCCTGTTTCACCTTCATATTTGGTATCTGATCAAACTCTTCATCTCCACTATTCCAAGATGGTATCTGGTCATCCTGCCCTGCCTTCAGCAGGAATCCCGTTTGGCCAGTTCAGCCAGAATCCCCCCAGACTTGATGTCTCCTCTTCTTAGTAGTTTTCCAGCTATCAATTTCCCCATATCCCCAACTTGCTTCTTGGCTATAAATCTCCATTTTGTTCTAATTATATTTGGAGTTGAATCCAGTTCTATTTCTATAGAACTGGAATCTCTCTTCTGCTACTGCAATAGTTTTTGTTTTGTTTTGTTTTTCTTTAATAGACTCCATCCTCACTGGTTTAATTTCTGTCCAGCTCTAGTTATCCTTAACAGTGTCTGGTTAAATTATCTCTGTTCAAATAACTAGTATGTTCTGTCTCCTGATGGTACCCTGATCTCACACAGTATTGGATAATCAAAGTAATGAAATAAATACTTATTTTAAAACTACATACCTGAGCTATAAGTATTTAGCTATTAAAACATTAAACTAATATAAAGCCAAATACACATAGAATCATAGAATAATGATGCATTTCAAAAAACATGAAAAGCTGGAAATATTAATATTCTGAGAGGGCCATAGAGCTATGCTGAAAATCTCTGAATTCATGTTGAATTGTAACTTCAAATTGCATGAGGACGCTAAGTTGAGCAAAAGATTAACCAATTTTGGCACTTCGGTACCTGAGACAGAGGAAGTAACTGAAGGAATAAATTAGAACAAAAAGGGGAAAAAAGAAGGAAGAATATGTGGATTAAGTATCCTAAGTTTTAAATATAATACGTTATTTTTGTGAAGTTATAAAAAATAATGTAAATTCACAGAAGAAAAATTGGAAAAAAAAGAGACAAAAAATAAATCCAAAATCTCCACAAGCCTTCTACTATGCAATTGAAATTAACTTTGTGTTCAGGTTTTCAATTTTCTTCTATATGATTACAATTTTTTCACTGTTTTATAACTTTATTCTTTAATAAGATAGGATCGAAGACAGTAAGTAATTCTAATGTGTTGATATTTTGAACATTATTAATGTGTTCTCTCTCTTACCTTATCCATCTTTCTGCAGGCAGTTGAACATATGTTTCAGAAGAAATGGAAAGAACAAAGCAATAATCAGCTTCTGATAAGAAAACTAGGATTTTGCCACAAGAAAATTAGCTTGAGAGGCAAGCATTTTGAGACAGGATTTTCAAAATTTCTTTATCTCCTCTATTTAAAATTGCAGCGGCCGTGCCTGACAGATACATACTTACAGAGTTCTCCCACAGTTTGGCAGAGATAGACCTTCTACACAGGACAATAAATTCATAAAGCTTTTCTCTTGATGATAGGAGGCTATGACAGAGGAGACGTAATAGGAAAAGAGAAAGACAGAAAAAAAGGCATTGAGACAAGCAGATAAATGGCCCTGCTTCATCTCAGGTTTGGCCATGACCTGTTGACCAGGGAGATGTGGCTCTTCCTGAGCCATTCCTAGTTTCCGTGTGATAGACATGGGATTCAAAGATGTTGTGAGTCCTGCTGTGGAGCATGTTGAAGGGCACCAGGAAGGGAGCAAGGGGAGTCTCTAGCAGCTGCCACAAAGCACTTCCTCTGAACTGAACCACAGCAGAGACCCAGCCAAACGTCAGTCTTCTTCTGCCAGGGAGACACAAGGTGGGCACAGCAGAGTCAGCCAAAGAGAACAGAGGCCCAACATAGCTGAGAATGATGGGCATATGACTTATATTAGTCAAAATTTTCTGTCTTGAATGCCAGCGGGGCCAACAGTTCAGGCAGAAGGAATATTGTCCTGAAGACCAGCAGACTAAGCATAAATTAAAAGTCACCATGAAGATTAGAGGATCATTTTTCCCGTCCAATGCCATGTGTTCTCCTAAATCACCTCCTGGATGCAATTTCAAACATATCCTCCCATCTGAGAGAAGGAAGCATGAGGAGGGGAAGAAATTAAGACAAACAGTATTTTTTATGAAAAAGTGACTCAATATTACCCAAAGTTACCATTTAAGTTATCAGCCTGGACTAGGCTTAAAGCAAGACTAAACACAGGTCATTCTTCCCACTAACCTGTGGGTAGGGACTTGAGAGAGAAGGTTGTATAAATTATAGATAAAAATTAAGAAAAGTACATTTTTTCTACACATCAGAGTCATACTTTGAATTTCATTTTGCAATTCAACACATGATTACTTCCAAGACAATTTTAAGAGATACATGGCATTTCCTTTCATGGTATTTCATATCATGTGTTAGTTATCTATTGTTGCCATAACAAATTACCACAAACTTAGCAGCTTAAATAAGGCCTATTTATTATCTTGCAGTTTCTGAGGGTCTTACAAGGCTGAAATCGAAGTATTGGCAGGGGCTGCAGTTCTCACCTGGGGCTTGGGACCCTCTTCCAAGCTCACTAGCTATGGGCAGAATTCTGTTCCTTGCAATTGTAGGATTGATGCTCCTGTTTTTGGACAGAGTATCTCTTTCATCTTCAAGCCAACAATAATGGCAAATCTTTCTTGTGCTTCCTATATCTCTGGCTTCCCCTTCTACTGCCCCTCTCTGCCTTCCTCCTCTGCTTTTAGGGCCTCGAGTGTTTACACTGGGCCACCTAAATATCCAGGATAATTTTCCTATTTAAATATAAACTAACTAGTAACCCATCTGCAAATTCCCTTTTGCCACTTAACACAACATAACCACAGGAGTAACACCAAGGTAGCAGAGATTACAGGGACCAAAATTCTGTCTACTACACATGATGTATCTCAAATAATTTGTTTTGCTAATTGCCTACCATTATCCATTCAGGCTCTTTATTTCTTTGCTTGTGATACACAATTAAACAATCAACAACCTTGCATAAAGCTTCAGCACAGGACCTTGGACCAGGAATTTTGCAGAGGAATAGTGGCTGATCTTGTCCTCAAGCAGCATGACATACATTAAATATTTGCAGGCATTCAGCTCACGGGGACCTTCCATACTTGCAAATAACTGACAGTCATTAGAGTTAGGTGAAGCTGTAGAAAGACTAAGTAAGGCACTGTACTGTCAAGCACCACTGATGCACAACTCATCCACATCTTACAGGCTCCAGTTCTCCTTGGAGAGCACATCCTGAATACCATGGTGGTATAAATAAAGAGAAAGTCATCTTTTTCAACAGTCTCTGCTGTCTGACTGCACATGATTAAGTTGGAGTCTTACATACTTGGCCAGGATGCCATAGTTACAATACTTACACCAGGGAAAGGCAGAGCAAGCAAGCCAGAATCATGATGGCCCCATGGGCCCACTAAGCCCCAGGCTTCAGGCTGCAGATGTTATGTTATATAAGACCACAAACATGGCTTTGATAGGGGGAGGGTGAGTCCAGCCCAAGGAACCAGTACAGGATCTCACACAAGGTTTCAAAAAGAAGTTTGAAGAAATCCCTTCCAGTCCCCAGTTTAACTTCATGAAGTAGGTAAGATCCCTCATAATCCCTCTGCCAAACTCTTTAAGCCCATCCTAAATAAACAAAGCAAACTGCAAATAAAAAGTTGTGTATGACCACAGATGCTAAGAAAATAGTTATATGTAAAAAGGAGCTCTATAAACAACCTGATATTAATGAATTTTAAAATCTCAGTTAACTCGATAACTGTATAAACAATTTTTAATTATAAAATGTACTCAGAATTAAGTAGAAATATTTATTTGCCAACTTTAGCATATAGAGATGACAGGTCAAATCACTGGAAAATTTGTCAAATTCTGTAAGTTGCCTGGGATAATAATGTAATTATTTAGAAATAATTATATACTACCTTTAGCTTACATAATGCACTAGTATTTAGTCCAGGTGTATTAAAAAAAGCTATCCAATATAAGAGTATAGAAAATAAACCCAACATTTAAATAATCTCATGGTACATTAATCTTTCCAAACTATGACACCGAAGTGAGAAGCAATCAAGTTACTTACAAAGTCCTTTCAATCTGATAATGAAAATAAAACTGAGTCATTTCTGTTTTATACTTCATTTAATTTTCAAAGACAGCATAGCATCATGATTAGAATCTTGGATTTAGATCCCAGCTCCTTTCTTCTGAACTATGTGTCCTTGGGCAAATTCCACAATCACTTCATGCCTAATTTTCGTGAACTATAACGTGAAGATATTATAATTTACCCTCTAAGATTGTTATGAGAATTAAGAAAGTAAACACAGGCTGAAAAACTGGAACAGGGTCTGGGCCTATGGTAACCACTCAGTAAATGCCTATTTTTATTATTATCCATTTTCCCTTTGCCCCTGTTCTATAATTCCAGACATGTCCTCCATGTCTTTTTAAACCTCTCCTCTATTTATTCACCTCATTTGTTTCCTCTGAATCAGAGAGAATTTCTTACTTTGTCATCACAACTTATGATTTGCCTTTCTGCAGAATCTAGTCTGCTTTTCACTGTCTCCTTTAATCTATTTCAAATTTTTGGAAATGAATGTTTTTCATTTCTAGGAAAACTTTCTGTATGTCAGATTATTTCACTTTTAATTCACTGGAATCTTTTATTTTGATCTCTTTAACCCATTTGAATTAGACTTGCTCCCATTTTCTTTTTCACTTGTAGTATTTGCCTCAAATGTCTCATTCACTTTGCTTCCTTGAATTAAGCCAACCTTTATAAACATTGAAATGCTTTTTCCCTCTGATAACTTTTTCCTTCTGTTTATCCATCTTTAGAGAGGTCAGTGAAGGGAGCCTGATTGGCTGAGATGATAGATCAGGTGATTAATCTTTCAGAGACTCAGAGATAATTTCTTTCAGAGATTGAGCCTCTCCACAATTTTCAAATCTCATGAAGAATAAACAGACAGTTTAGATGTTCACTTTTCTTTATTAGAATTCTAAAGTAGACATAGAGTTTTCATTACTTTGCCAAATTATTGGCTTTCTGAACTTCCTATGAAAGCATGAAGTTAGTCAAAGCAGCCTTCCTGTCCATCCCGTAATTGGCAACCTCCTGATTAGGAGGCAGCTTTGAGAGTTCCTCTTTTACTGAGCATGACAGTCCTTAGTGCACTTGCCAAAAGCATTGAATTCATTTCCTCCAAAATCTGCCCATGACCCACCTTTCTTCCTCTTTACAGCCCCTCTTGCCATGACTCTCTTTTATCTTTCTTTCAGCAGCTATCACCCTCTGACATGTTATGTATTACAGGTTCATTTGCTTATTGCCTGCCCCCACACACACACAATAAGTGCTCAGGAAATATTTGTTACATAAGTATTTTCCCCATATAAAATTAATATTGATCCATTAGCCCTTTCCTCAATACAGTATGCTTTTCTAGTATATCTGCTGAAAAGAGTCTGCAAAATTCCACAAAATTGCTGACATGGTTTCCAAGCCTGACCTTTTGTATAATTTCAATGGGAATTGATACAAGTTGGATGACAAATGCAGTTCTAAAATTGCCATATTGAATCATTAGTTTTCTTTATAGTTTATAGTTTGTTTTTCTTAAACTTCAACAGTCCCGAATTTTATTTGCTTTTAACATGGTGAAAAGCAAATATGATATAAATGGTTTGTGGTATAAAACAGCCCAAACTCTTTTTTTACCCTAATGTAAAGCAATTACTTTTAATTTTTGTGTGTGTGTTTAGTTCTTCCAGTGCTTACTTTTTTTTTTTTTTTTATCAGATGGAGTCTCGCTCTGTCATCAGGCTGGAGTGCAGTGTCACGATCTTGGCTCACTGCAACCTCCACCTCCTGGGTTCAAGCAATTCTCCTGCCTCAGCCTCCCGAGTAGGTGGGACTACAGGCATACGCCACCACGCCTGGCTAATTTTTTGTATTTTTAGTAGAGACAGGGTTTCACCATGTTGGCCAGGATGGTCTCGAATTCCTGACCTTGTGATCCACCCGCCTCAGCCTTCCAAAGTGCTGGGATTATAAGCGTGAGCCACCATGACCGGCCCAGTGCTTACTTTTATGACTTCTAATATGGTATGCTCAATTCTCCAGGAAACAGGCTCTGAGATGGGGAGGTTTATTGTGGGGGTGCTTTTGGAATCAACTCCAGCAAAGCATAGAAGGAAGCAGGACAAAGCAGAGTGAGAAGTTAGAATTGTTCAGCTGCACCAGAGCCCTTAGCTGATCTCCCGGAAAGTTCTGGAGCTAGGGTGGTTCTTCAGAGTTATCTCAAATCGAGACAAGGGAGTTGAGCCTTTTTTATTTTCTCACTGAACAGTTATTAGATGTCAGCTGCCCCAGGGAGGGGATAGACCTTGAGCAAGGCAGTTCCCAGACCAACAGGAGTGACCAGAGAGCAATGCAGATGTAATTCTTCTGCAGTCAACACTCCCTGAACTGGGGAAATCGTGTGTTTCAGTCCCTAAGGGAGGGTCCAGGCAACACACATGAGCACTCACCACATTGCTTTGGATCACCCCACATATTTTTGCCTCATTTTTGAGGAAGAAGAACAAGTGGAAACAGAGGAGGAAGAGGGAAAAAAAGCAACCAAAACAACAATCACAACAACAACCATCAATGCATGGACATGCATCTTAATAACTGGGAAAAGGAGAGACAAAGAAAACCAGGATAAGGCAACTCTTCCTCTTTTCTAGTAAGGAGAGTGAGTGGATAATGCCTACTGTTTAGAAAATGTAAAATAGAACTGTAGAACATTATTTAGAATTAAGGATAAGACCACTAGAAAAACTAAAAATAGAAAATCAAAAGAGGCACATAGGTAAAAACTGAAAGAATGCCTGGGAGCTTACAAGCAACAGCAATGTATTCTTGATTCACTATATGCTTAATCCTATTCCCCAGGGACAAACACTTTTAACTTGTTCTTCTGACAATAATTTTATTATACTTAATAATATGTTTGCATATCTATTTCTTGGCTTGCGTGCTCTATTCTAAATATATTGACTTGCCATTATGAAATATAATAATTAGGCCACCTCCACCTTCATCTCCCCTATTATCTGCTCAGAAGAGCTTCCAAAGGGGTCTAATTTCAGAATTTTGAAGATGGAAATACAGAGGGCTGAACACATTGGACTTAATTGAAAGTTTGTTTACAGTAAGGAAACCAAAGTCATAACCTATGCCATGACCTAAGCAACATAGCTTTAAAAATATCTGAAGGAAAACTGTTAATTTCACGAGAATCCTGGTGTCAGCCAATAGACTGAGCACAAACATTTGCTACCCGCCAGTATGAGAACCAATAAAATAACAGTCAAATAATTTATCATGGAATTGACCGATAAAGGGAGGGGCAGAAGACAGCATCATCAGCACATGAAAGTTAAGATTACTTTCTGGAAGACAAAAAGTGGATGAAAAAATATTTTTATTTGAAACCGAAAATGAAAGTTGCAGCTCAAATATACATGCCAGTAAATAGAGGAGATAATTCAAGGTCTATATTGAAAACTATAGTGCCAATCGCCTCAACCATGGCCCCCACAAGCACAGTGACAAGCAGTACAGCATATATGATTCAAACAAAACAAATGACATCAAAAGAAAAAAAGGCTCTTTTCTTAAGAAATTAAAGAAAATGCTCCTGGGAAACTAGATTATTGGGAAAATAAGCCCTCCTTACACTGGCATTTGTGGAAATTGCCTCCTCCTGGCTCACTCCCACTAAAACAAAAACCCAGCAATCAGCAACTAAATGAGAAAAACTGAAGTATTAGAGAAAACAAACTAGTAAACCAAGAAAAAAGAGAAGGGAAATTGAAGCCTTTAATTCTCTTTTTCTTTGAAAAAGAGAAAGCAAAAGAATATGGAAGGAAAGACTCTGTAGCTGATAGACACACCCATATTAAAATAATAAGAAACAGTAGCTACGGTGAGTGAGACAAGGGCAGTCACACACCCTTTGTTGCTGGAGAAGGCAGCTCCAGTCTGAGCTAAGACAGTTCCTGAAACCAGAGCTGAGACAGGTGACCAGAAAGCACCCCCAGCCCCACTAAAAGGGCCAGACAACCGACTTCTGGTTTGGGGCTTAGAAACTACCCAATTGGGACTCAGTCGTTCTCAACCAATCTGGACTGAATGTATTTAAATCTTTCATTTACATATAAAGACCCAGTTGAAGGCCTGGAGCAGGAACTCTCCCTATTTTAGTCAGAGCCCCTCTCAGTTCTCTGAAACATGCTTTCCTTTTACACCAGGGGTTATGTCTCCCCAATCTGAAGATTTTTGTTTGTTTGATGTAGAAAATAAAGCTCTCCCTTTTTCTTCTGCAGATCTCATGGTCTTTTGTTAACACCAGTAAGAAACAGATTTTCTGGGAAGAATAATGAACCTAAAACAAAAAGACAAAATCTTACTTTTTAGTGTCTCCAGAAAATTCAAACACATGCTCGTATCATTACAATAAGAGCAAATGTTGTAAATAAAAGAGATATTAAAGAACTACAGTTTGAGGAAATTAAATACAGCTGACCCTTGAACAATGTGGAGGTTAGGGGTGCCTCTATACAGATGAAAATCCACATATAACTTTTCATTTCTCCAAAATTTAACTATTAATAGTCTACCATTGATCAGAAGCCTTGCCTGTTAACTAGAAGCCTTACCATTAACATAAACAATCAATTAACACATATTTTGTATATTATATGTATTACATGCTATATTCTTACAATAAAGCCAGAGAAAAGAAAATGTTATTAAGAAAATCATAAGGAAGAGAAAATATATTTACTATTCATTAAGTGGAAATGGATCATTATAAAGGTCTTCAGCCTCATCTTCTTCGAGTTGAGTAGGCTGAGAAGAAAGAGGAAGAGGAAGTGTTAATCTTGATATCCTGTCCATTCATCCATAATAAACACATTGTTTCCACCTTTTGGCTATTGTCAATAGCACTACTATGAACACTCATGAACAAGCATTTGAGTAACTATTTTTAATTTGAGGTACCCAGGAGTGGAATTGCTGCTGAGTTAAATACTAATTGTATGCTTAACTTTCTGAGGAACTTTCAAACCATTTTCTTTTTTCTTAAATTTAACATTTAAGTTCAGGGGTATATGTGCAGGTTTGTTATGTAGGTAAACTGTCATGAACATTTGTTGTACAGATTATTTTGTCTCCTGGGTATTAAGCCTAGTACCTATTAGTTATTTTTCTTGATCCTCTTCCTCTTCCCACCCTCCACCCTCTGATAGGCCCCAGTATGTGTTGTTTCCCTCTGCTTGTCCATGGGTTCTCATTGTATAGCTCCCACTTACTTATAAGTGAGAACATACCGTATTTGGTTTTCTGTTCCTGCATTAGTTTGCCAAGGATAATGGCCTCCAGTTCCACCCATGTTCCTGCAAAAAACATGATATCATTCTTTTTTATGGCCACATAGTGTTCCATGGCGTGTATGTGCCACATTTTCTTTATCCAGTCTAACACTAATAGGCATTGAGGTTGATTCTATGTCTTTGCTATTGTGAATAATGCTGCAATGAAAATACGCACGCATGTATCTTTATAACAGAATGATTTCTATTCCTTTGTATATACACCCAGTAATGGAACTGCTGGGTCAAATTGTATTTCTGTTTTTAGAGTTTTTGAGGAATCACCACCCTGTCTTCCACAATGGTTGAACTAATTTACACTCGCACCAGAAGTGTAGAAGTGTTCCTTTTTTTCCAGGAGAAAAATTTTGCAAACTGTGTATCTGACAAAGGTCTAATATACAGCATCTATGAGAAACTTTTACAAGCAAAAAAAACCAAACCCCTGTAAAAAGTGGGCAAAGGACATGAGCAGACCACTTTTCAAAAGAAGACACACATGCGGGCAACAATCATAAGAAAAAAAAGAGCTCAACATCACTGATCATTAGAGAAATGCAAATAAAAACCACAGTGAGACATCATCTCACACTAGTCAGAATGGCTGCTATCAGTCCATTTTCCAAAGTAGCTACATCTTTTACATTCCCACCAGGTACATACGAGGGTTCAAATGTTTCCACATTGTCATTTACTTTTATTTTTCTTCTTTTACTTGTAGCAATCCTAGTGGGTATAAAGTGGTATTTCATTATGTGTTTGATTTGCATTTCTCTAATGACTAATAATGTAGAACATATTTTCAGGTGCTTCTTGGCCATTTTTATTTCTTTGAAGAAATGCCTATTCAAGATTTTTACCAATTTTTAAATTGTTTTTCTTGTCTTTTAAGTTATAACAGTTTTTTACATATTCTAGATACCAGATCCTTATCAGATATATGATTTGTGAATATTTTATCCCACTTTGTAGTCTTTTCACTTTTTAAATAACATCCTTTGACGCACAAAATTTTGAATTTTAATGTTATTTATGTCATCTCTTGTTGTCACACCTAAAAATCCATTGACAAATTTAGGTCAGTAGAGATATGCCCCTATGTAATATCTTAAAATTTTTATAGTTTTAGCTTTTACATTAAGACTCATGATTCATTTTGAGTTAATATGGATATACAGTGTGAGGTAGTGGTCAAAATTCTTTTTTTTTTTCCCCTATAGGCATTGTGCTGTGATAGCACCATTTGTTGAAAAGACTTTTATTTTTCTTTTGTCCAAACCCTGTTGACCACAAGTATGTCTCAGTTTACTTCTGGATCTCAATTCTTTTCCATTTACTTATATGTCTGTCTTTATGCCAATATGACACTGTTTTAATTACAAATGTTTTGTACTAAGTTTTGAAATCAGGAGTGTGTGTCAGCTGACTTTGTTCTTCTTTTTCAAGACTGTTTTAACTATTTGGATGCCTTCGCAATTCTAATTAAATTTAAGAATCAGCATTTTTATTTATGTAAAAATGGCCATGAGAATTTTAGTAAGGATTATACTGAATCTATAGATTATTTAGGTAGCATTGTCATCTTAATAATATTGTCTTCCAACCCATGTATATAAGTTTTTCCACTTACTTAAGTCTTCCATAATTTCTTTCAGCAATATTTTGTAGATTTCACCTTGTATTTCTTTGCTAGTGCTGCCGTAACAAAATACCAAATATTAGGTGTCTTAAGCAACATAAATTTATTTTCTCTCATTTCTGGATGCTGAAAGTCCAAGATGAAGCTGTTGGTGGGTTTGGTTTCATTCTGATGCTCTGTTTTTAGCTTGCAGATGGATGACTTCTCACTGTGTCTTCACATGGTCTTTTCTCTGTGAGTGTACATAACTAGTGTTTGTGTGTCCAAATTTTCTCTTCTTATAAAGACACCAGTCAGATTGATTAAGTCCCACACTATAAGAGCCTTATGTTAACTTTATTGCCTCTTTAATGCCCTATCTCCAAATATAGTCACATTTTTCGGAACTGGGCATTAGAGCTTTAACATGAATTTTGTGGGGACACAATTCAGCTCATAACAATTTGCCTGGATACATTTATTGCCAGGTATTGTATTCTTATAAACACTATTGTAAACAGAATTGTTTTCTTAATTTCACTTTCAATTCTTCATTGCTAATATGTAAAAATATACCTGACTTTTCTATGTTAATCCTGCAAATTTTCTGAATTCATTATCTATGATACTTTTTGTGTATGGGTTCTTTAGGATTTTCTGTGTATGTCATCAACAAACAAGGGTAGTTTTACTTCTTCTTTTCCTATTTAGATGCCTTTTATTTATTTTCCTACCATTGAGTATAATGTTAACTGTGGGGTTTTTGTTGTTGTTGTTTTTTGCTTTTCATTTTAGTGTCCATTGACAGATTGAGGAACTTCCCTTCTAGTTATAGTTTGCTAAGCGTTTTTAATCTTAAAAGGCTGTTAGATTTTGTCTGATGCTTTTTATGCATCTATTGAAATAGTCATGTGATTTTTAAAATTATTCTTTTGACATAATATATGGAATTTATTGACCTTTATATATTGAACTACTCTTGCACACCATTTGATCATGGCGTATAATCATTTTAAAATGTTGTTTGCTAGTATTTTTGAGCATTCTTACATTTGCATTTGTAAAGGATATCAATCTATAGTTTTCCCGTGTACCTTTGGCTTTGGCATTAGGGTAATGCTGAGCTCATGGAATGAGTTAGGAAGTTTTTCCTTTTCTATTCTTTGGAAGAATTCGACAAAGATTTGTGTCAATTCTTCTTAAAACGAGTCATACAATTCACAAGGCAGGCCATCTGGTTCAAGACTTTTCTTTGTTATGAGATTTTTGACTACTGGTTCAATCTCATTTTCAATTATAGGTCTATTTATATTTTCTATTTCTTCTTTTTTTAAAGCTTTATTGAGATATAATTCATACACTGTACAGTTTTCCCATTTAAACTGTACAACTCAATGGTTTTAAGTACATTTTACAGATATGTTTAATTATCACCAGAGTCAAATTTATAACATTTTTATGACCTCAAGAAAGAAACTCTATCCCCTTTAGCTATCATCCTACTTTCATCCTGTGTTCCCCTGCTCCACACCCAAGCCTAAGCAACTACTATGTTCCAACTCTATAGGTTTCACTATTTAAAACTTTCATATAAATGGATTCATATAATATGTGCTCTTTTGTGACTGACTTCTTTCACTTAATATAATGTTTTCAAGGTTTATTCATGTTGTAACATGTATCAGTTCTTTATTATTTTTATGACTAAAGAATATTTTGTTCATTCATTTTGGGTTCCTTCTGCCTTTTGGAAATTATGAATAATGCTGCTATAAGTATTTGTATACAAGTTTCTATGTGCACATATGTTTTTACTCTTCTTGGGTACACACCTAGGATTGGAATTTCTGGATCATATAGAAAGTCTGTCTTTAATCATTTGATGAACTGCCAGATTGTTTTCCAAAGTGGCTGCACCATTGTACATACTCGACAGTATATGAGGTTCCAATTTCTTCAACTCTTCAGCAACATTTGTTTTTATCTGACTTTCTGATTACAACCATCAAGGGGGTGTAAAGTGGTACCTCATTGTGGTCTTATTTGTATTTACCTGATGACGAATGATGTTGAGTGTCCTTTGTTTATTGACCATTTGTGGTCTTTCTTGCAGATATTTCTATTCAAATAATTTGATTGTATTTTAACTTGATTGTCTTTTTATTATTAATTGACAAAATTTTTAAATTTTTTTAGGTATAGATTATCAGATTGCAAATATTTACTTCCATTCTGTTGTCTTTTCACTTTTTTGATGGTGTCCTTTGAAGCAAAAAGTTTTTAATTGCAATTAGGTCTAGCTTATTTCTTCTCTCATTGCTCATGCTTTTAGTGTCATATCCAAGAATATTTTGCCAAATTCAAGGTCAGGAAGATTTACCGCTACGTTTTATCATAAGAATTTTACAGTTTAGCTCTTACATTTAGGAATCTGGTCCATGTAGAGTTAATTATTGCATATGGTATAAGGTAGGGGTCCAACCTCATTCTTTTGCATGTGACATTCCAATTGTCCCAGCACTATTAGTTGAAAAGATTTCTTTCTCCTTCTAATGGTCTTAGGACCCTTGATGAAAATCACTCAACCATAAATGTATGGGTGTATGTATGGACTCTAAATTCGATTTCATTCAGCTATACGTCTATCCTAATGCCAGTATACAACCTTGCTTACTGTTGCTTTATAGTAACTATTGAAATAAAAAAAAGTATGAGTCCTCCACTTTGTTCTTTTTTTCCCCCAAGGTTATGGATCACTTGGAATTCCATATAAGTTTTAGAATTAGCTTGTCAATTTCTACAAATAAGTAATTCAGGATTCTTACAGTGATTGCATTGAATCTGTTAGAACAATTTGGGAATTATTGCCATCTTAATGTTAAATCTTCAGATTCATGAACATGGAATGTTTATCCACTTATGTAGGTCTTCTTTAATTTCTTGCACAATATTTTACAGGTTTCAGGGTACATGTTTTTGCATTTCTTGTTTAGTTTATCACAAAGAATTTTATTATTTTCAATGTTGTAAACAAAATATTTCTCTTAATTTTATTTTCAGATTATTTATTTCCAGTGTACAGAAATACAACCGATTTTTTAAATTTTGTAATCATGCTTAATTCATTTATTCTAATGGATTTTTAGTGGATTCTTTGGGATTTTTTTATATATAAGATATTGTCATCTGTAAACAGAGAGAGCTTTATTTCTCCCTTTCTATTTTGAATGTCTTCTATTTTTGTTTTTGCCTAATTTCCCTGGCTAGATCCTCTAGGAAAACATTAAGTAGAAGTGGTGAGAGTGACATCCATGTCTTGTTCCTGATCTTAGGAGCAAAGCATCAGTCTCCTACCATGAAGTATGATGTTGGCTCTGGGTTTCTCATAGATGTTGTTATTGGCTGAATGTTCATGTTTCTGCAAAATTAATATGTTTAAATTTAACCCCAATGTGGTAGTATTAGGGCCTTTGAGAGGTAATTATGTGATGAGGGTAAAGCCCAAACAGTGTGATTAGTGCCCATATAAGAATAAGCCAGAGAGTTAGCTTGCTCTTTCTGCCATGTGAGAATACAACAAGAAGTTAGCAGTCTACCAGAAGAGGGCCCTCACAAGAACTTGACCATGCTAGTTCCATGATTTTAACTACCAGCCTCCAGAACTGTGAAAAATAAGTTTCTGTTGTTTGTGGGCCACCCAGCTTATGGTATTTTGTTATAGCAGCTGAGCTAAGACAATAAAATTCTAGTTATTTTCTTAGTGATACCTGGGGATTATAATTAACCTCTTAAACTTATAACAATCTATTTTTAATTAATTCAATTTAGGCTCAATAATATACAAAATCCCTGCTTCTATACAGGCTACCCTTGCCCCTTTATGTTGTCACAAATGACATCTTTATTCATTGTGCTCCAATTAACATAGATTTACAATTTTTATGTATTTGTCTTTTAAATCATTTACAAATGGAAAGAGTTACAAATGAAAAATTCCACAATACTGGCTTTAGTATTTACATATGTTGCTACCTTTGCCAGGGTTCTTTCTTTCTCATATGATTTCAAGTTACTTTCTTGTGTCTTTGCTTTTGCCTGAAGGACTCTCTTTATCATTTCATGTGTTACATGTTTGCTAGTGACGAACTCCCATCACTTTTGTTTATCTGAGGCTCTCCTAACTTTCCCTCCATTGTTGAAAAAGAATATTGCTGAATATGGAATTCTTGAGTAACAGATATTTTTTCCTTCAGCACTTTTACTATGTCATCCCACTGCCTTCTGACTTCCAGTTTCTGCTAAAAATTGGCTGTCAATGTCATTGAGGGTACCTGGTATGTGACAGTCACTTTCCTATTGCTGCTTTCAGATTTTCTTTATTTTTAACTTTTGACAGTTTGATCATAACATAGCTCAGTGTGGACCTCTTTGCATTTATCCATCCTGGAGTTCAATGACCTTCTTAGATATGTAGTTTTGTGTCTTCTATCAAATTTGGGAAGTTTTCAGTCATTATTTCTTCAAATATTATTTCCCCATTCTCTCTTCTTTTGAGAGTCCCATTTTGAGTATATGTTGGATGGTGCCCCAAGGGTCTCTTAGGCTCTGTTTATTATCTTCATTCTCTTTTCTTTGTGCTACTCTTTCTTAATAATTTTAATTAACCTACCTTCAAATTTGCTGATTCTTTCTTCTGCCTGCTCACATCTGCTATTGAAATCCTCTAGTGGATTTTTTACTTCATTTATTATCATTCTCAGCCCCAAAATTCTTGCTGTGTTTCTTTCTATAACTTATAATTCTTTGTCAATATTTCCTATTTGGTGAGACATAGTTCTTCTGGTTTCTTTTAACTCCTTGAGCATATTTAAAACAGTTGACTTAAAATCTTTGTCTAGTAAGTCATTCAATGTCAGTGATTTCTCAGGAACAGTTTCTGTAGTTTCCCCTATGCATGTGCTATACCTCTTTTATTTGCATGCTTCTTATTTTTTTGTTGAAAACCAAACATCTTGGAATATTATAATGTGGCAACTCTAGAAATATGATTTTTCTTCCCTCTCCAGGGTTTGTTTTTGCTGCTTACTTTGGGTAGAGTTGTTTGCTTAGTGACATTTCTAATAATTTTTGTAAAGTCTAATTCTTTGTCATGTGTAGTCTCTGAAGTCTCTGTTCCTTTAGCTTGGTCAGCTAGGGTATTTACCGTGTCCACCTGGGATAAAGAAAGAAAAAGCAGGAAGAGAGAGAGGAAAGAAGAGAAAGAAACTTTCCCAGTCTTTGGAGATTGGCTCTGTGTTGGGACACTGATTTAATGCTTAGCCAGGCAATTTAGAACTCTGCCTTAGCCTTCTTTAACTGTTTGTGCTGAGCCTAGGGGTCATCCAGAGATAAAAGCTTAGGGTCTTTTCAGATTTTTTTCTGAGCACACGTTTTATGCCAAGCTTGTGTGTGACTTTCAAAAGTCCCTGATATACATGGGTGATATTCTTTCCCTAATTTCCCAAAGAATCTTTCTCCCAGGCTTTCAGCGTGTGTACTATTTGTGTCAACTGTAATCTTTAGCCCCAGATAGCACCGGGTTGCTCATTTGCCTTACAATGTTTTCAAGAAATACCCTAGGTATAGGTGCTTTCCTGCCCTGAAAAAGTTCAAAACTAGGTAAAACAAAGGCAAATGCTTTATATCAGTTCTTCAGGTAGTCCCCAAACAGTCAAAACAGACCAAAAAAGTTATTTGAGATTAAGTTTTTTTCTGCTCCGTCCAAAAGCAGGGACCAAGGCTTCACACTGGGAACAGCAGCTTCTGTCTTTAGACCACAACTGAGCTAGGGATGGCAGAGGGGTAAAAGCAGATAAAACTGCCACAAAGCTTTCTTGCCATTTTTACGTTATCTTTTTTGATTCAGTGTTTGCTTATTTGCTATAAATTTTTGACTATTTCCCAGAGTTCTGACAAAGTTGATTCTGACCATTTTCATTCAATTTTTCAGTGTTTTTTCTGGAGAGGCAGGCCTTTGGAACTACCTACTCTGTCATTTTAACCGTGGCCACTAAACTCATTGTAATTTTAAGTCAGTTATGATCAACTTGGCCCATTTTTTGCCTTTGCCTCCCAGTTTTGGGAGATTTTTTAACAGTGTGACATTTTAAGTAAGATCCCCTGCCTTTGAATTTCAGCTCTCCACTTACTAGATATGTGATCTTCAAGTGGTCACTCCATGAGGCTTAGTTTCAGTATTTGTAAATTAGGGATGATAACAATAACAATCATGTCCAGCTGTGAGGGGATATTAAAAAATGACAAAATGAATTAACATACTTGAAAAAAATTTTAAATTATAACATGAGAAAATACCAATTATTTTCAAATGTAAATTTTTTAAGTTGTAGTTTAACTTTCATTCCCTCAGCCATTCAATCCTATTCAAAATCTTTCAAGTATTTGTACTTAAAAAGACCTTTGTTTGATTATTTTTTATCAATCTTTCCAAAGACTGTAATATTCTTGCCACTTATTTATCATAAAAATATTTTAAATGAGAATGTATTTATGAGGAACATTAGCCAAAAAATATTATAAAAGTGTAAAACAGAATAAGATAATACACATTTTAATGTTATTGAGGGAAAAGTATATCTAGGGTTGCTCAAAATACTTGTTTCAATCAAAGACAATCAAAGAAAGTAAAGGTTTTGCTATCTCAGAAACACTACCACTCAGCTATTCAGGAACTTCCTTTCTCCAGTTCAATTTTGAAAGTTTAGAGTTCTTGTCAGAATGACACATAAGAATCACCTCTGGAGGTTTTTTGTTTTTGTGTTTTTTTAATACAGGTCCCTTTCTGAATTTGGAATAAGAATTAGAAGCCAAGCATATGTATTTTTAAAAAGCTCTGTAGAAAATTATGATAAGCAGTCAGGATTGAGAACCATCAATTTGAGTGTTTCTATATTGTTATACACAGGGGATACATTCCAAGACCCCCATTGAATGCCTGAAACTGAGGATAATACCAAACCCTATATAAACTGTATTATGTGTTTACATATACATGATACTTATGATAAAGTTTAATTTATAAAGTAGGCACAGTAAGACATTAACAATAATAATCAATAATAAAATAGAACAATTATAACAGCATGCCAGCATCACTAGTCTTGCATTTTGGGGCCATTATTCAGTAAAATAAGGATTACTTAAACACATGCACTGTGATACTATGATAGCCCATCTAATAACCCAAATGGTTGCTAAGTGACTAACAGATGGGTAGCATGTGTACAGCATGGATATGCTGGACAAAGGGATAATTCACGTGTCAGGTAGGACAGAACAGAAAGGCTTCAGATTTCATCACACTACTTGGAATGGCATATGATTTAAAACTTATAAATCTCTTTTTCTAGAATTTTTCATTTAATATTTTCAGACCACAGTAGACCTTGGGTAACTGAAACCACAAAAAGCAAAATGGTGGATAAGGAGTGACTATGTATAAAGACAATCAAGAGTAATATGGACATCCTAACATGCCACAGACCTTACTGTGCATCAATTTTACATATGCATAAAACATCATCACACCTATTAATATTTCCCTTGAGTCTGATACCAACGAATGCCATAGAAAAGTAAATTTTCCCATCTTACCATTCAACTGAGCTCAGAGTCAATGGACGATTCATCCAAGGTCAGCCTGCTAGGAAGTGACAGAATCACAGTCAGATCTTAGTTTGATATCAAGCCCAGTTCTCTTTCCACAGCACCAGATATGAACTTTTATAATGTGTTGTTCATACAGCTTTCTCATCTCTCATTCCTAACATTCCTACAGTGAACACTTTTTGGAAACCCAAGTCTTTTAAATTATCTGTATTTTAGGGCCTAGGGCCTTAACTTAGTCAAAGATTCTTGTTCTCCCTATCCTGTGTAAATATTGTGATTCAACATGCCATGCTCTCACCAACATCTACAGTAGTTCCACACATTTGTTTATCTACCTAAGATTCCTGCCCTTAAAATCTTCCTCCTTAGATCAACGCAATCTTTCCTTCCCTGGTTGTCCTTCTGGGTGTCTGTAGACCTACAGAAAAGCACATGATGTATGAATTGTTATTTACAGTCTCCGTCCTCATTGAAAATCTCTGTGTCACTCAGCAATCCATATCAGGGCTTATATTGTTCTCACTCTCTATTGCTTAACTCTTCAAAATTTCTCTCACTTTCTAGGCACTTTTCAACTCACTACCATCAGGGCTCTGTCCTGATTATTCCACTGAAACTGCTCCTGCAAGGAGCCCCTAATATCCAAATACAGTAAATTGGCTTCAGGTCTAGCCTTTTTTGACCTCTCTGTGGAACTAAAACTAGACCATTCTTTTTTTCTTGAAATTGCTTCTTTCCTTTATAGTACTCCCAGCTTGCTGTCTTATTTCCTTCTTAGTAATTTCTTTTCAAGCTTCTTATCTTGTTCCCGGATGTTATGTAATGACATCTCCTGAGGAATCTGTAAGGTTTTCATCCTTGACCTCCTCTTCATACTCTATACGGTCTTCCTCAGAAAAATCACCCACTCCTTTGACATCAAATATCCGACATATACCAACAAAGCTTTCATGGATCTCTGTAATTATGGAGTTTGGGGAATTGTGGAACTGATCAAGGAAAAAGATATGACCACGAGGTGGCAGTAGCACGCACATGCTTTATTTGGCTGATGTGTCTGAAACATCAGCCCCTGCAGCATGAGACCATGGGTAGGAGGGCAAGGGAACTCTTAGGGAAAAGGAGTATCGGAGAGGGGTTTACATGTCTAGTTTCTGTCTCGCAGTAGCAAGGCATGAAGTCTTTGGGTCAGAGAGCTCCAAGTGGCAGTAGCAACTTGGGGTATTAAATACCCAGGGTTTTATTCTATCTATAGCTAGCAGATGTTAGATGCAGTTTTGTGGGGTATGCAAAGCAGGCAGGCTCCAAATGGCTAAAAATCTGCTTGTTTGAGCTATATTTAAAACAATTGGGTGTGTAGCAATTTGAGTTTTGGACTAGTATGCTTTTGAGCTAATAGGTCTTAGCCTGCCATGAAGAAATAAACAACCTAGGGACTAACATACAGAGGGCATCATGGGTCATTTATATAGTAGTTGGTCAGATTTCTGGCTGAACCTCAGGAAGCTCAAAACTAAACCCAATATATTTCTACTAAATGTAGTTTCTTTTCCTCTTATTCTATCAGAAATATAATATATTGTGCCATTGAGACTAAAGTACTCCTCCTTCCTGTCTTTCGTGCACTTTAATCCATGACCATTTTACTGATTGTACTCTCTTCACATCTTTTACTCTCTCATACATTATTTCATTCCTCAGTGGTTTGGATTATGGCTTCTCTGTATCTTGCCTAGGTTATTATCACTGTCTCTGAAATAATCCTCTTCTCCCTTGTCCTGCTATTGCCTGGTACATTCTTTGCACTACCATTGAGATAATTTTTCTGAAACTCAAATGTGATGTTACTTGCCCGGTTAAAACTTTTTTAACTCTCCGTGATGTAGAAGAGGTGTTGGCAAACTATGACCTCTAGGCCAAACCCAGCCTTCCACCTGGTTTTGTAAATAAAGTAGTTTTATTAGAACACAGACACTCCCATTCATTTGTATATTGTCTATGGCTGCCTTCGTGCTACCACAGCTGAGCTGAGCAGTGGCAAATAAGACCACATGGCTCACAAAGTCCAAACTAGTTGCCCCCAGCCACTTACAGAGAAAGTTTGTCAACCCCTGGTCTAACTGTAAAGTTTGGAAGCTTGGCACGACATACAGGACCATTCAGGAGGTAGCCACTTTACATCTTAGTTTTATCCTAGCCCATATTCCCCACTGCTACTCTAAATCGCACCCATATGGAACTACTGGTAGTTTCCAGAATGTACCACGATACTTCATCCTTGATGCTGTTGCTCCTTCTACCCAGTATACATTTCCTCTGTATATCCATTTCTCATTCACCTCCTCATTTTTAAGATTTAGGGGCTACTTATTCTGTCAAGCCTTTCTTAAATCTCTCCCAGAGTAGCACTGACTTCCTTTCTGCCTCACTGTACAGACTTTGATCATAGCACCAATAATATTTTTTTATGTTTAAAAATGATTTTATTCTACTCAGGTGACATTTCTACATTTAAAATCATATTCCTTCAATTTTGAAAGCATTTTATGCCACTGTTTTTGAGAAGTCTGATATCAGTCTGATTCTTGATACTTCGGATATCACTGTCTTTTATAACCTTTTTAAGATCTTTTTATCCCCAGTGACTTTAATACCTTTATTTTTAGAGCATTTTTAGGTTTACAGAAAAACCACATTGAGCAGGAAGTACAGAGCTCCCATACATTCCCTTACCCCTCCACCCACACACACATGGTTTATTACAATTGAACCAATATTAATACCTTATTATTAACTAAAGTCTATAGTTTACATTAGGGTTTACTTTTCCTATTGCACATTTTGTGGGTTTTCACATATTTATAATATTTGGCTAGCATTACAGTATCATAAAAAAATAATTTTACTGCCCTAAAAATCCTCTGTACTCAAACTATTCATCCCTCTTCCCTGCACCCTCCAACTGCCCCCCAGCTCATCATCTGGCAACCACTAATCTTTTTACTGCCTCTTACTGTCTCTACAGTTTTGTCTTTTTCAGAATGTCACACAGCTGCAGTTATAGTTTGCAAGCATTTCAGATTGGCTTCTTTCACTTAGTAGTACACATTTAGGTTTCCTCCATGTCTTTTCACGTCATGATAGCTTGTTTCTTTTCATCCCTGAATAATATTTCATTGTCTAGATGTATCACGGTTTTTTTTAAATCCATTCACCTACTGAAGGGACATTTTGGTTGCTTCCAAGTTTGAACAATTATGAATAAAGCTGTTATAAACCCTTGGGCACAGTTTTTTTTTGTGTGTGTATCCATGAGTTTTCAACTTATCTGGGTAAATACCAAGAAGCATGATGACTGACTCATATGATAAACATATGTCTAGCTTTTTTAGAAATGGCCAAACTATCTTCCAAAGTGAATGTATCATTTTACACTCCCACAAGCAATGGATGAGAGTTCCTGTTGCTCCACATCATCACCAGTATTTGGTGGTGTCAGTGTTTGGATTTCAGTCAATCCAAGAGGTATGTAGTGGTATTTAATTGTTATTTTAATTTGAATTCTCTTAATGACATATAATGTTGAGCATCTTTTCATATGTTTATTTGCCATCTGTATATCTTCTTTGGTAAGATGTCTGTTCAGATCTTTAGCTAATTTTTAATTGGGTTGTTTACTTACTTACTGTTGAATTTTACCAATAACCTTTTACTTTTGTGATAATTATCAACAATATTACTAATAATGAGACCAAACATTTATAACTACTTACCAAGTACCAGATGTTGTGACAACTGTTTTATAGACATTATTTCATGTAATCCTCATTATAATGCTATTATTTTATCTACTTTTGTTCATGAGTAAGTGGCTCAGAGAGGTTCAAGAACTTATCTAGGATCACACAGTAAATAAGCACTAGAGCTAGAATTGCAAACCAATTCTCAAATTTCTAGGACCATAACCATAACCACTGCAAGACACTCTTTACCTTCCTTTCACTGATGATGACAGGCTTATTTCTTCTGGTTAAGCTAGGAACATCAAAAGGGTGGAAGGGGTAGTGTGCTGGAAGTGGGGATGGATGAATGCATCAATCAGTACCTATATCTATAGCTATCTAAATCTGATTGGAAACTGGAGATAAGAAAGGCATCTACATCTAAAGAGAAAACAAAAAGCCTGGAGAACAGATTCTACTTAAAGTTGACTACTTTGAATGCTATTTTTTTTTTTTAGAGAAATTAAATTTTCGCCTACAGTCAAATTGACAACAGTTTAAAGTGTGAGGTTTTTTTTTTTTCTCTCTCTCTCAAGTCACTAATGGGGCAATTAGCAATTTCTAATTTGGTCTGTTACTCACTTTCATGTGAATCAATTATTAACCCAAGTAAGTCGATCATCATAATTCATTTAGCATATGAGGGCTTCTTCCTTTAGAGACATGTATACATCTCTGGACACCAAGGCAATTTATAGAAATTATACATGTTATACAAATGTCATGTAAAAGATGAAAATAAGGCTGTTTATTAAACTTAGCACAGTTCCTGTGCTTATACTAATGCATAGTGATTAGAATTCTATTCATTGGGGATGAAAACATTTGACCATTTCAGGCTGCCACTACAGTCCTCCTGGCTTCTCTCACTTCTACACCTTCTCCTCCTCTGGCTGCTCCTTGTGGTTTTACATAATTATTAAAATTCCACTCCTAGTGAAGCTGTTACATTGTCTGGGGTATATACCTAGGATTCATCATCTCGCGGCAGAAAAATTGAGGACACGGAGACACACCAGGAGTTTAGGAATGGAGGTTTAATAGGCAGAAGAAAAGGGAGAGAAAAACAGCTCTCTCTATTGAGAGAAAGGAGCCTTCCCAGCAGAAAAGACTGACTAGTGGCGGATGCACATTTTATAGTCCAGCTTGAGGAAGCGGTGTCTGATTTAGGTAGGGCTCACAGATTGGTTCCATCAGGTGTAACGTTTACATAGCGCTCAGAGAAGGCTGGTCGCCCCACCCTAACCTTACGATGCAAATAAACTCTCCTTGGCCAGTGCCATCTTGTCTGCTCTTTACTGCACACGTGGCTGGTAGACAAGGGAAGATGGAGCTGCCATCTTTAACACATCTAGTCCCTAGTTCCTGCCGGCATTCACCCATGCAAGCTCCCAGCTTGCTTGTCTATGTTTGCAGCTCTACTTTACAGACTGCTCTTTGTTAGGAAATGATTTGGGGCTGCTTTTCATTAAAAAGAAAAGCCTTACAGAGGACTCCCATACCTTTACTGTCTGCCTAAGTGATTTCTTCTTAACTCCTATATCACTAGAATAGGAACGAAATTATTTTCACCTTCCTCAGGAAGACTCTCTAGTGGAATCAGGCCTGAAAGAGACGTTTCCAGCCTTTACTTCTCATCCTGCAATCTCAGCACCCCCAACAGGCCAGTGCTTGAAAATGAGGGGTTCCTGCTGCTGAACACCCCAGCTCACATTTTGGCCCCACTCAGATTCTTCCCTGAGCCTCAAGCCTTCGGGCCACATTCCTCCTTTCCCTCACTGCTTTCCTTGATTCTAAGTCTTAAACTACCCTCCCCCTTTAATCTTCCCTCTCCACCAAATCACCCTCCTTCCTTGTTTTGAAATATAAATCCATTGAATGTATTACTCAAAACATTCACTGCTTTTCTCTCTGAGAAAAAGAGACAGAGAAGAATATGAACAGGAAGTGATGAAAACCAGTGCAGGGAAATGCCCAATATTCTAGCAAAGTATGCCAATTTTGGAGTTCTCATCTCTCAGCTACAGTTTTTGACAACATGATGCTACGTACAGATAACCTGAAGGTCTTTTGTTTTCTTTCACTTGGGAACATGACTCTCTTAAATTCCCTTTATCCAGACATAAGCACCTTCCTAACCCTCACCACAACAAACAAAAGCTACTATTCATTAAACACAGACTAGGAGTAAGACATTGGGATGGTGTTTTTGTTGTTATCTTATTTCAGCCTCTTTGTATTATCTTCATTTTTATAGATAAGAAAACTGAGGTTCAAACACATTAGTCATTTGCACCCAAACACAAAATGCTTGTACAGTACTGAACAAGGACATGAAGCCATGTCTTTCTGATTCCTGAATCCACCCTCACTTTACTTCATTGTCTGCTCTCTCCAGAAATAATGTTAGGATATTAGATAAAAATAAATGGCATTTAGGCATCCTCTCATCCTAAACAGGTCATGTCATCTGTGGCCAGGCTGCTAACGCAGTCACTCCGCACCATGCTCTAACACCCCTTCTCTCTTAAGTAGACAAGAAGGAGGGAGCACATTCTTGTTGAGCTGTATTTCAGCAAGGGAATCAAGTCATTTCCTCATCTATATTGTGAAATATAAAACTCTCTAAGGCCCTATCCTCTAGTTCATAAGTCTCTCTACAAGAGAAACCTTGCCTAATACATCACTCTATATATAGCACACTCCATGTAGAGCACAGAAGAATTCTGGATGTCTAGCAGGTGCTTGACATTTTTATTTTATTTTTTATTAAAATGCTGAACTTCGCTATTCACATCTATAATTCAAGGATGCTGTTTCATCATTTTCCAAATCAATAATAATAAAAACAATAACTGGAGAAAATATCCCAAACTTAAATGGCATCTAATTTAATATAGATATTATGAAACACTTCAAATAAAATTTCTCATTAATTCCTCTTCCAGCCTGTCAGTTAGCAAATAAAGGAAATATAGAGGGAATTTTGGTCTTATTAAATTGTCCAAAATTATAAAGTTCTGGAATATACATTCAAATCCATGACTTGGTTTCCTCTTAATTTTTTAGTTTTAACAAATAGGGCTTTATTTCCCTGCCTGTCCAGGTACCAATAATAGAAACCATTGAAAGTGTCAGTGCAAATATGCTTCATATTACCATTAGGGCTGGCAAATTTTGATAATAGCAGCATGAACTCACAAATGTATCTCAAAATTCAAAAAATTAAATACACAAATACACAAGCAGTTCCTTGCAACAAATATGCTCTTAATCTGAAACATTCCCTACAACGGAAAAACTGAATTACCAAGAGTCACCAATTAAGAGACAATTAGCACTCTCCTGGTTAAACTCTTCTGTTCCATAGTACTTCTTAGGATTACCAACTAATTTGTGATTTCAAAACAATCATAGAGAAGGCAGACACAAAACTCCTATTAGGGGTCCTGCGATTTTTCAGGATGTGTTCAATTCACATTCGTCTTTTACACCAGAGCAGCAGGTAAGCACTGGGAACAAGAGCTGAAGACACCATATAAGTCAGAATTTTAAAGTACATTCCTAATAGGAAATATAGAATCATTTTAATATAGATATTTTAATCCAATAGGTTTATATTTTTAATTTTTTGTTTTAATTAAATATTGTGGACAAGAACTTCCTTTTATTTCTCATTAAATATAAAGGTTTTCGAAACTGCTATAGGTTTAAAGGTTGTTAATTTAATGAAGCTGGCACAATGATGCAGCATATAGGCTGCTTAGCTCGAAGAAGCTACTTTCTGACCCTTATCTTCACTGGGGATGAAAGGACAACATAATTGCCTGTCTCTGAAACATTTGTTTGCCACGTATTGCAACTCCTCTATCTATCACATTCAAGGCAGTCTGCCCAGCTCTGACGGTTGATGTAAATTGGCCCAAGGCAGGAGTGAGCTCTGAGCTTATCAAGGTGGGGTGCAGCTGCTCCATCATTGGCACAGGTGTGGAGAGATCGGAGCAAGCCCTTGCCACTCTTCACATGCACTCCTCCTAATGACTTTGCAGCTGGCAGAGCTGCAAGCTGAAATCCACCCAGATCCAGTGGCGGGAATTAGCACTGTGGGCAGCTTAGATCCCCAGACCAGGGAAACCTCAGTGAAGCCAAATTAAAAAGACTAACACAACTACACTCACATATGGTTTTCAATGCATTGACAGGAATGATGATGAGCAGGACAGAGGCAGGAGGAACAAACATAACAGGATGTTATTTTATCAAATATGATACACACCTACATATATACACACATACCATGTATCTCAAACATATTACATGTTTTTATAACCTATTTTCTTCACCTAAATAATGTATTTTAAAATGTTGACATTTCTACAACCAGCATTTCTAATGTCTACGTGGTGTTCCATTATATGTGTTATATCTCTTTACGTAATCAATCTCAACATTTGATATTTTGGATATTTCCAGTTTGGGCTTATTTTTAAGTGCTGTGAGGAATAGTAGTAAGAAATAGTTCATACATATTTCAAATAATCTCCTTAGATAAAATTTGTAGAAGTGGGATTATTGGGGAAAAGAATATAAGCATGTTTAGACAATTTTTGACATATTATCATGATACTGTCTAGAAAAGATGACGCCCAGCAGCAGAGAATGTGACACTGGGTTAGAGAAAGCTTGGCTTGTTTGACATATTGGAATCTAGAATATCTTGCAATTAATAGTATTTTATTTGAATCTTTGTGAGATTGAACAAGATTTCATAAATTCATCGATGTTTGCTTCTATTTTGGTAATCTCTGATTATGATGTTTACTAATTTTCCACTGAGTTTTAGTCTTTTATTGATTGATAAAGACTCATTATAAGATGTTTAAAATAGCTCTTTGCCAAATATTTTACAATAGTACTTTGCCAGATTGTAGTTTGTTTCAAATTTTAATGGCATTTTAGGCTATGTGGATTTTTATGTTATCAAACGTATTAATAATTCTTAAATGATACATAGTTTCTACCCCAAGTTGTAGGCTTAGAAATTCCTCTACCACCAAGAAATTATATAAACACATTAGATCTGTGTCTCACAGGGAATTTTTTGGTCAATAGAGAATTTTTTTCTGTGTGTTGTGAAATGACTGTATCCAAATATCCCAGCATTTTCAAAATTCAGAAACATGAAATCTCTCTAGATTTATTTAAGAACCAAATTAGTATTCGGTTTTTTATCATATAGATGTGTATCATTGCTTATTATATTCGTTCCAAAGAACAATAAGAGAGAGACCAGGTAAAATATTTGTAAATGTCCTCTGTTCCTTTATCAATAAATGAGCTTCTTGCTCCCTGAACCCTATCTATCATTAATTGAGCTTTAAGTCTTGATTTAGGAAGAATAAGAAAGTGACATGGGGAGGATAAAATTAGATCAGATAAACTAAGAGAAAAAAATAATACCATCCCTTTGACGCTTGTTGAATTTTATAAAGATGAGGTAGACAGAAGGAGGGAAAGGTTACGTATGAGAAGCTGTTTCTCCCTGCCTCTACCACCATACATGGAAGGTGATAGTAGGAGACTGCAGGGAGGCTGCCATAGATTGAATATTTGTATTCCTCAAAATTCAGATGTTGAAATCCCAACCCTCAATTGGATGGTATGAGGAAGTGAGGCCTTTAGGAGATAATTAGGTCCTGAGGGTGGAGCCCTCATTCGTGGAATTAGTGTCCTTATAAAAGAGGCCCCAGAGAGCACCTTTGCCCCTTCTGCTATGTGAGGACACAGTGTGAAAAGATGGCCATCTCTGAAGCAGGAAGCAGGCCCTCACCAGACACCGAATCTGCCGGCCCCTTGTATTTGGACTTCCCTGCCTCCAGAAGTGTGAGAAATAAGTTTATGTTGTTTATAAGCCACCCAGTCTATGTATTCTGTTTTCATAGTAACCTGAACAGACTAAAACAGAGGCATTAATTTAAGCACATCCAGATAAGTATAGGGAAGTTTAGAAAGTCTGACACCAGCAGCCTAGTTTACATGATATACTTATGAGAGGCCCTGAGTCTCTCAGGAAAAGACCTTTTTGTAGCCAATGCAAACACAATATGAGTCCATGGTATGGCAGATGTATGGGACTAGGGTAGTGCTCCTGCTTCCCACAGCCTGGTTGTACGTGCAAGGGACCCAAGTGTGTCCCTGAATCCACAGGGGGCATGGAGGTTCTAAAAGGATTGTAGGCCAGAAGAAGCCTGGATTCAAACAAAGCCTTCCCACCCCCAAGATATGGGGGATTTAAAACCAGAGGCAAATAATGGTGACTGCTGATTACAATCACATCTCCTTAAAAATTCAGAAGGAATCAGTTATGCCGTAAAGGTCATGAAAGAGGAATCAGTCTTGGTTGGTCTCTCCATGCCAGCTACACAAAATGATTCAAAAGGCTGGGCACGGTGGCTCACATCTGTAATCTCAGCACTTTGGGAGGCCAAGGTGGGTGGATCACCTGAGGTCAGGAGTTCGAGACCAGCCTGGCCAATGTGGTGAAACCCTGTCTCTACTAAAAATACAAAAATTAGCCAGGCATGGTGGCGGGTGCCTGTAATCCCAGCTACTTGGGAGGCTCAAGCAGAAGAATCGCTTGAACCCAGGAGGCAGAGGTTGCAGTGAGCCGAGATCGCGCCATTGCACTCCAGCCTGGGAGACAAGAGCCAGACTCAGTCTCAAAAAAGAGAAGCAAACAAAATGATTCAAAAAACATTGTGTAGATTCAAGGAAGCCACTTCTTCTGTCATCACAAAGTCATATCACCTGAATCACCACTCCCTCATAACACTAGGGTGATTTCGGAAAAGGCAAGCACAAGAATAGTCATTTACCTGAGCCATCCAAGCAGAGACTAGTTTTCTTAAAAGGCAGTTCAAATTGTTGGAAATAACAGAGATTACAAATTTGGAATAAATATAGTGATTCCCTTTGTTTACTCTTCCCTTCCTCCCTTTGGGGTGGGGAGTGGAAGGGAGATCATGCAGAAAATCAGGACAGTTATAAAGGGATAAATACTAAATTGCTTTGTATGCCCCAGCTAATGAGACTGAATTTGTTATCCTAATATGCACACACGCATGCACACACGGACACACACACACTTTTCTTCCTTTTTTATTTTCCCAGTTGTTTTATAATGGTCACACATTGCATTTCCCTGGAAGTAAAGAAACATTTATTTTTGAAATCTTAGCTAGTCTTGAAAATTCCCAAGCAACTATGTATTTCAATACACTTCAAAAGCAGTTGGAAGATTTTACTTAAAACATTGCTCCTATATTTTTACTTCACAAACTACTTGGCAAATCTGAGTTTAACCAATATAAGTATCCTTGCATATTGGGCTACCTTTATTATAATTCAGATCTAAGAAGATTTTCCCAAAATTTCCCATCTGAAAATTGTATTTCAGAAGTGAAGTGCACAAGAGAAGAGAGGTAGGTATAAACATTTTACCTCACATCTGGTTGGGATCAAATTCTATTTTTAAAAGACCATGTAAGCAAGCCTGTTGCTGTTGAAAGAGACAACTAAAACCTAACAAATTATTCCAAGAAGGCTTGGAAATACAAAGCAATCTTTTCCAGGTCCTTTTAGAGTCATTTCTTAATGGAATTATTTCATCCTGAATTAGACACAAAGTTGTACTCAGACATAAGAATAAAATTAGAAGATGGTGAAGTTGAAGAGCTCACCTTTATAAAGCACATAGCGTGTGCCAGGCACTTTAAATGCCTAATGGGATTAATGCCTTAATCCTTCCCACAACACACTGATATTTTAACAGATTAGCAAATTGGGACTCAGAAAGGTGAATTAGCTTGCCCAGGTCTGCTGCTGGGAAATCGTGGATCTGACATTCAAGCCTGTATCCTCCAAAGCCAGAGCCCATACTTGCCTGCTGCTCTGCTGCTTTTGTCTGGAGTTTATGTATTGATGAAAACAGCACACTTAGCAACTAGTAACCCATGTCCACATCTTACTTTTTTTTGGAGACGGGGTCTCACTCTGTTACCCAGGTTGGAGTATAGTGGCACAATCGTGGTTCACTGAAGTCTCAAACTTCTGGGTTCAAGGGATCCTCCTACCCCAGTCTCCAGAGTAGCCAAGACTACAGGTGCACACCACCATGCCTGGCCATTTTTAATTTTTTTTATATATAGAGAAAGGGTCTTACTATGTTGCCCAGGCTGGTCTGGAACTCCAGGCCTTAAATGATCCTCCTGACTCAACCTTCAAAGCACTGGGATTAAACAGCTGTGAGCCCCTGCACCCAGCCTACATCTTACTATTGCTACGTCCTTGTCACGTTATTCTAAGCAAATGATGTTACATGCTTGGAAAAACATGGGTTCTTTTGGAGATTAAATGGACCTCACTTTTCCCCTCTATAAAAAAAGAGGTAACATTATCTAACTCAGAGTTATTTTGAGGGTTTCATTAGATAATATATGGACGGCACAGAGTACAGTACTTTCTACATACAGCCAGCCCCTTATAAATTAGTTATTATTATTAGTTGGATACATTCCAATTCACTTCCATTATAAAGCACTACATTGGTATAAAATGATGCTAGTCTTCCAGAAGCAGGGCATAAAATAATGAATGTACTATTCTGGAGACATTTAGGCATAGAAATGATGACAAACAAATGCACGATGCTTCCAGTGAGAGGAGCCCTACCCTATTTAGACAAGCTCACTTCCCGTGACTTCCCAATACATCCATTCCACAGGTCCTTCAGAAACACGAGGGTAATCCTGGACTGTGGGCCCTTCTTCGTGCCTTCCTTATCTATCTGGAAAAGCTCCTCTTCTCCAAGACAAAACCTTCTCATAGCATGAGTCATAGCACTTTGGGAACAGCAGTGGCCTGGAATTAGGATGCCAGGCTGAGAGCCACCTCTGTCCAAAACCATCAAAGGAGCTCAGGAGACTTGCCTAGGCTCAGGATGTATACAGGGGAAAGGACCCTCCAGGTCCCCACTGCTCTTAACATCTTCTATTTAATAATTAAAGAGAGGCAATAACTATATTTATTCCAAATTTGTAATCTCTCAGCTCAGTTCCTTCATTAAACTTTCTAGAATTACTCTCCTCACATTAACCATGTCCTTCCCAACCAGAATTTTGAGTGCTAAATAGACTTCTCTACATATTTCCTGCAGAGCTGGCCAAATTCACCAGCTCCTTAAGCCTCACTGGGGGAGGAAGACTTTTCCCTTTCTCCAGGCCAGAACTGGTTGTACGTCTATCTTACCATATTGCTACCTAGAGTTCTTGGAAAGTCCAAGAGCAGAACATCAAAAGGCATGACAGCTGAGTTCCACCTTCCAGCCCTGGGAATCAACTGTTTCTATGCCTTTGCCATGGAACATGCCTACTCTCTGGTGGAGAGGGGAAGGTGAGCTTGATTCACTCATATCCCTGGCCCAGATACCTGCCAATGCACTGTAGGAACACAAATGTGTATCACAAATGTGATGAGTACAGCAAGCTCTCACCTCCTGTGGATCTATCTATATGGAAGAAACTTCCATAAAACAAATTGTGTTAACAGATACTTTTAAAATCAGCTCTTTTGTAAAGATGTTCAAAGGTTTTAAGTGTAAGACTGGATAAGAATTTATGTGTTGTCCTTTATTAACTGTAAAGCCTTTCTCAAGTTACCTTACTTTTATATGCCTCAATTCCTCATTTGGAACAGAAGCAAAAGTATCTAGTTTATGGGGACAATGTGAAATATAGGGTGCTCAAACAAGCCAGCCTGTGGTAGTGCTTTAGGAACTCAACAAGAAGCTGCTACTGCAAGGGCAGCTGTGATGATTATCTCCTCAGTATCACCAAAGGCCCTAAATTCTAAGTCAAAGCAAAGAGAACAATAATCAATACCCAAGTGGTCAGGGTTTTGTTATTTAAAGAAAAAGAGCTTTTCCCTCAATGTATTTCTAGTCTAGGATACTGCTTTTGCTGCAGACACCATTTTTGTTCCGATCAAATGTATTAGTGTCCTGTCGCCACTGTAACAAATTACAGGCCGGGCCTGGTGGCTCATGCCTGTAATCCCAGCACTTTGGGAGGCCGAGGTGGGTGGATCACGAGGTCAGCAGTTCGAGACCAGCCTGACCAACATGGTGAAACCCCGTCACTACTAAAAATACAAAAATTAGCCAGGTGTGGTGGCATGCACCTGTCATCCCAGCTACTCAGGAGGCTGAGGCAGGAGAATCGCTTGAACCTGGGAGGCGGAGGTTGCAGTGAGCTGAGACTATGCCATTGCACTACTCCAGCCTGGGCAATAGAGCGAGACTCTGTCTCAAGAAAAAAAAAAAAAATTACAGTTGGCCTTTGGTATACATGGGGATTGGTTCGAGGACCCACATGTATACCAAATCCACACGTTCTCAGGTCCCACAGTTGGCCAAAACTGCATATACAAAAAGTTTCTCTCCCTAGATACAGGCTTTTCATCTCCTGAATAGCGTATTTAGGATTCGTGTTTGGTTGAAAAAAATCCTGATAAACAGACCCACATAGTTCAAACTCATGTTGTTCAAAGATCAACTGTGCCACAAAACTGGGAATTTAAAACAAGTCATATTTATTATCTTACATTTCTGGAGGTCAGAACTTTAGCATACTCTCACAAGGCTAAAGCAAAGCTGTCAGCCTCCCTGGAGGGTCCAAGGAGAATGTTTGTTGTTACTTTTCCAGCTTCCACTGGCTGCCTGTGTTTCTTGGCAGGTGGCTCCTTCCTCCATCTTCAACGTACATCACTCCAGTCTCTGCTTCCATCACCACATTGCCTTCTCCTCTGACTCTGACTCCCCCAGCATCACCCTGATAAGGAGGATTGTGATTCTATGAATAATCCAGGATAACCTCCCTATTCAAGATCCTTAATTTAATCTTATCTGCGAAGTCCCTTTTGCCAAATAATATAACATTCATAGCTTCTAGAGACTGGGATTGTCAGGCCTCTGAGCCCAAGCTAAGCCGTCATATCCCCTGTGACCTGCACGTACACATCCAGGTGGCCGGTTCCTGCCTTAACTGATGACATTGTCTTGTGAAATTCCTTCTCCTGGCTCATCCTGGCTCAAAAGCTCTCCTACTGAGCACCTTGTGACCCCCACTCTGCCTGCCAGAGAACAACCCCCCTTTGACTGTAATTTTCCTTTACCTACCCAAATCCTATAAAACAGCTCCACCCCATCTCCCTTCGCTGACTCTCTTTTCCGACTCAGCCCACCTGCACCCAGGTGAAATAAACAGCTTTGTTGCTCACACAAAGCCTGTTTGGTGGTCTCTTCACACGGACGCCGCATGAAAGGGATGTAGACATATATCAAGGTTATTATTCAGCCTACCATACCACGTTTCCACCATGATTGCTTACATACTCAGTCTTGCCACTCTTTCTAACTAATGAACTCAGCCAAGAGGACATTTGGAGTTGTCTATTTTTAATCATGACTGAGCAATATCTAGAACTAGCAGAGACCTGGAAGCCTGAGAAAACCTCTGAGTGGAACCTTCTTTCCCTCCTATCCCACTCACTATAATGTGTCTTTAGTATATCTAGATTGTAATTTGATGGGGCACCAAGACCCATTTCCTTCACCAGCTTGTGGATTCAAAGAAAACATTGAAGTGGAAGCCACTCGGCACACACTTCAGAAAATGTTACTGGAAGTACAAACTTACAGAGAAGAAAAAGCAGTGTGTGTTTTATGTAGAACAAATGATATAGTACAAATGAATCTAGCAAAGGAATAAGTGGTGCCAGTGATGATTATAGTTGGAAATTATATTAGGCGAGAAAGTGCAGATACTTAAATATCTTTTAAGGGATTTCTGATTTATCCACAAATCTATGTTCGAGTAATCTATAACAAATCTAGTTATGTCCATAGGAATTCTCCTATCCCAACTAGTATTAAATATCATGATCTGTAGGCTAGGAAAGTAATCACCAAGGTACTTGTATCTAACCTGGAAGTTAAGAGGCTTAGGATCCAGTGCCAGAGAAGCAGGGTGAACTATGGCTTGAATATCTGACACCTCCAAACCTCATGTTGAAATTTTATCCCCAGGGTTGGTGGTGGGGCCTAATAGGTGTTTGGATCATGGGAATGGAGACTTCATGAATAGCTTAATGCCCTTCACGGGATTTGAAGAGTGAGTGAGTTCTTTCTCTGTAGCTCCAGTGGGAATTGGTTGTTGAAAAGAGCCTGGCACCTCCCCCTCACTCCCACCTCCTCTCGCCATGTGATCGCTGTGCACACCAGCTCCCCTCTGCCTTCTGCCATGAGCGGAAGCAACCTAAGATCCTCACCAGAAGCAGACGCTGGTGCTATGCTTCTTGTACAGCCTGCAGAACTGTGAGCCAAATAAACATCTTTTCCTTATAAATCACCCAGCCTCAGATATTCCTTGATAGCAACTAAATGGACTAAGACAGGTAATTTATTTATTGTCTTAATTTGGCCACATTTGAGAATAAACAGGAGCTCTAATGCCAGGAAAACAGGCACAAACCAAGACATATAGTCACTCTGTGGATAAATTACTTCACCTCCTTGGCCATTGTTTTCCTTGTCAAATGGTGACAGTGCCATATAAGTTTCTGAAAGCATGAAACATGAGACTAGGCATAAGAACACTTTGAAAAAGTACGTAGTGCTATATAAATAGTGGTTTTACTGTTAATACAAAAAATTGAAATTAATTAATTTTAAGTTTCCCCTGTGAGTTGATTCTAAGGAATTTTTTAAAAGTGTAGACACTATAATACCGAGAAGTTATAGGAAAACACCTGGAAACAACTTAAACATTACCAGGGCTTCCAATACTTTCTCCAAGTTAATCATTGTTAACACCACTATTTCATTACCACAGCAATTCGTCAGTGAGAACAAAGGAAATGAATGGGGTGAATGGCGTCGTGGAAGTGACAGAAACCTGCGTCCCAGTGTGGCGTAAGCTGAAACAAATGCCTGTAACACACAGCCACACTGCCCTGTAATTCTGGACTGCTAAATCCTTACTAATCTTTGGGGAAAATTTTTACTCTTCAGCTGTGAGTCTGACTTAGAATGTATTTTATCTGACGATAATAGTGCAGTAGCTGTTGAGATAATAGATCATATTTTTCCTCACTATAAACCATTCACTTTTATCCTAGGAAGTGAAAAAAAAACTGATGACTTAGAGCAGTCATAAAATACTTAATTCTTTATTAGGAAGGGAAACACTGAGGATGCTGATATTGACATAATCTAAAAAGCCTGAACAAAGTGTGGCCCAGTGGATGCCATGTTATGGCATGCTATAAGAGTGGAATAAAATGCTGTGTAGGAGAGGCTTCCAGGAGCAAATGAGGGAAATGAATACAAAAAAAAAGACTAGAAAAGACTCTCTAGGGAGGAAAGTGACAAATGAAGTTAAAGAAGTAAAATGAAATAAAACAATAAAATTAGAGAAACAGATGGAAAGGCAACTAAACGCCCTGTTATAATATCAAAAACATTCCTGTTTGTAATCATCAGATTTTTGACAATTTGCAGGACAGCAGGGATTCTATGTGGCTTCTATTAGGTTGGTGCAAAGGTAATTGCAGTTTTTCCATGACTTTTAATAGTGCAGTGGTGCCTACCTTTAATCCTAGCACTTTAGAAGGCTGAGGTGAGACGATCACTTGAGCCCAGAAGTTCAAGACAAACCTGGGCAACATAGCAAGACTCTGTCTGTAAAAAAGAATAATAAATAAATTAGCCAAGGGTGGTGGCATGTGCCTGTAGTTCTAGCTACTCTGGAGCCTGAGGCAAGAAGATTGCTTGAGTCCAGGAATTCAAGAGTAGCCTGGATAACATGGCAAGACTCCATCTCTACAAAATAAATTAAACAATTAGCTAGGTAATGTTTCCATTGCTTTTAACAGCAAAAACTGCAATTACCTTTGCACCAACCTAATAGACTTATGAAATGGAAGCATTTGAAAGGAATCACAAAAGACTTATCAGAAAGACCTTCAAAGAAAATTGGGTACTCAAAATGGGAGAATATCCCTCTACTTCAGCTCTTAAAATGCTTTATTACTAATAATGCCAGGGGTATGACAGCATACAGGAAATTATAAAAGCTACTCCTCAAATTCCCATTATAATCTTGGAAGAAAACTGATAGTTTTTGTGTCAGTGTTAGTTCTCATCATCTTTCTTAGTAATAAAACCTGATTATTGACTGGGTATACGTTTTATATGACAATTAAGATTACACTTGTCAGCTTTTTCTGTAGGCACATGGGCCATATGACTAAGAGCTATGCATTGGATCTGAGCAGAATTGTCTTCAAGAAGCATCCTAAAAGTAGGGCACATCCAATTTTGCCTATTCCTCCGTCACACTGCCTGGGATGTGGATGTGAATACCGAAGCCAAAGTAGCCATGGTCCAGTGTAAGGCTGATGTTGAAAGTGATAAGGCAAGAAGACAGGAGCAATAGGAGAGCAACCAGAATGGCCCTAAATTACTAACCCCTGGGATGTCACTTACATGGAGAAGAAATGAAACTATCTTATTGAAATCACTGTTATTTGGAGTCATTGCTAACAGCCAAAGATTACCTTAATGATAAATTCATTGAGTTAATATTAAACACCTTTTAAAAAACTTTAGAAAGAGGCTCTTGCCTCTGTTACCCAAGCTGGAGTGCAGTGGCACAATGACAGTTCACTGCAGCCTCGACCTCCTGAGCTCAAGAGATCCTCTCAAGTAGCTAGGATTATAGGCATGCAACACCGTGCCTGGCTAATCATTTAATTTATTTTGTAGAGACAGAGTCTTGCCATGTTATCCAAGCTAGTCTTGAACTCCTGGGCTCAAGCAATCCTCCTGCCTCAGGCTCCGGAGTAGTTGGAACTACAGTCACATGCCACCACCCTTAGCTAATTTGTTTATCATTCTTTTGTACAGACAGGGTCTTGCTATGTTGCCCACGCTGGTCATGAACTCCTGGGCTCAAGTGATCCTCCCACCTCAGCCTCCTATAGTGCTAGGATGCTGCACCCAGCATTAAACCCTTGATTTTTATAAATGTCATAGGAGTGTAAGATTGTACCAGTGACTTGCAAATTCAGTACACACAAGTTTGGATTCTTCATTGAACTCTGTAAATATTTGCCTCATTTGTTCATTCTCTCATTTTTGCTCTCTTGCTCTCTCAATCTCTTGCTCTCTATCACTCTCTGTCTCTTGCTCCTCAATACATTGTGATATTTCATCCCTCACTACTTAAGCTTACATCTCTTGGTCAAAAACATATTCTCCTACATAACCACAATACTATAATATGGCTAAATTAATTAAGGATAATTCTGTAAATCAACTAATATACTGTAAATATTCAAATTTCCCCAATTACACGAAAAATGTTTTTGAAACCATTAATAAAATAAATATATGGCAAGTATAAGTGAAAAAAGAGATATCAGTAAAAAATAATTTATATTACAAATTTTAAAAGTACTTAACTAGATATATGTATGTGAGATATAAAAACATAGCATAATATTGTGAATAATTAAAAGTTTGGAAACAAACAAAATAGAAAATTTTTAATAAAAATAACATTTTATATTTCAAGAAAAGCATAAAATCTTCAGTAATCCAGAAATTATTCAAGGAAGTGGAATAAGTAATAAAAAAAAAACTCCCTTATCTCTGAAAAACACATGGTTTAAAAAATTCTACTCTACTCTATTTTACTCTAGAAGCTTCATATAACCCTAATACAAAAAAACTGATAAAGGAAGGTAATAAAAGACAGTCATAGACTGAGCTTACATCTTATAAACAAGTATTATAAATAAAAACATGAATAACTTGATTCCAGTAATGTGTTTTTAAAATAAATATTACTTATGGGCCACTTAGCTAGGGTGTGTGTGTGTGTGTGTGTGTATAGATAGGAGTCTTGCTATGTTGCCCAGCCTGATCTAGAACTCCTGGCCTCCAGTGATACTCCCACCTCAGCCTCTGAAAGCACTGGGATTATTGGCATTAGCTACCATGTCCAGCTCTGAGCATTTGAAATAAAGAAAATAATACAAAAGATCAATGAAATAAATAGTTTTTTTTTTGAAGAGATAAACTAAATTGATGAAACCTTGCAAGACTAAGAGAAAAAGAGAGAAAGCTCAAATAAAATCAAAGATAAAGAAAGGAGACACTACAATTAATACTGCAGAAATTCAAAGGATTATTAGTGGCTACTATGAGCAACTACAGACCAATACATTGAGAAATCTAGTAGAAATGGATAAATTCCTATACACGTACGATCTACCAAGATTGAACCATGCATGAAGAAATCCAAAACCTGAATAGGTTAATAGCAAGTAACGAGATTAAAGCTATAATAAAAAGTGTCCCAGAAAAGAAGAGCCCAGGACCTGATGGCTTCATTGCTGAATTCTGCCAAACATTTAAAGAACTAATACCAATAATACTCAAACTATTCTGAAAAATAGAGGAGAAGGGAATACTTCCAAACCCATTCTATGAGGCTGGCATTACCCCATACCATAACTAGACAGAGGCAGAGGCACATCAAAAAAAGAAAACTGTAGGCCAATATTACTGATTAGTATCAATGCAAAAGTCCTCAACAAAACACTAGCAAACCAAATTCAACAACATATTAAGAAAATCATTCAACATGACCAAGTGGGATTTATCCCAGGGATGCAAGAATGGTCAATATAGGCAAACCAATTAATCTGATACATCATATCAACAGAATGAAACATAAAAATCATGTGATCATTTCAATTGATGTTGAAAAAGCATTTTATAAAATTCAACACCCTTTCATGATGAAAACCCTAATAAAAATTGTGTATAGAAGGAACATACTTCAACATAATAAAAGCCATATCAACAGACCTATAGCTAGTATCACACTAAATGGGGAGAAACTGAAAGCCTTTCCTCTAAGATTGGTAACACAACAAGTATGCCCACTTTCACCACTGTTACTCAGCATAGTACTGGAAGTCCTAGCTAGAGCAATCAGACAAGAGAAAGAAATAAAAGGAATCCAAATTGGAAAGAAAGAAGTCAAATTATCCTTGCTTGCATATATGATTTTATATTTGGAAAAACCTAAACTCTACAAAAAAACTATTAGAACTGAAAAACAAGTTTAGTAAAGTTGCAGGATATAAAATCAACATACAAAAATCAGTAGCATTTCTACATGCCAATGGCAAACAATCTGAAGAAGAAATCAAGAAAGCAATCCCATTTACCATAGGTGCAAATAAGATAAAATATCTAAGAATTGACCAAAGAAATAAAAGATATCTACAATGAAAACCATAAAACATTGATGTAAAAAACTGAAGAAGACACAAAAAAATGGAAAGATATCTCATGTTCATGGATTTGAAGAATCAACATTACTAAAATGTCCATAGTACCTAAAGCAATCTACAGATGTAATGCAATCTCTATCAAAATATCAATGACATTCTCCACAGAAATAGAAAAAAACAATCCTAAAATTTATATGGAACTGCCAATGACCCAGAATAGCCAAAGCTATACTGAAAAAAATGAACAAAACTGGAAGAGTCACTGGACCTGAATTCAAAATATATTACAGAGCTACAGTAACCAAAAACAGCATGGTACTGCCATAAGAACTGAAACATAGATGAGTGAAACAGAATAGAGAACCCAGAGATAAATCCATACATCTACAGTAAACCCATTTTCGACAAAGGTGCCAAGAACACACCTTGGGGAAAGGACAGCCTCTTTAATAAATGGCACTGGGAAAAGTGGATATTTATATGTAAAAGAATGAAACTAGACCCCTATATCTCATCATATCCAAAAATCAAAATGTATTAAAGACCTATATCTAAGACTGAAAGCTATGAAACTACTACAAGAAAGTACTAGGGAAACTCTCCAGAACATTGAAGACATACAAATGGCCAAAAGAAGACATACAAATGGCCAACAGATATATGAAAAGGTGATCAACATCACTGATCATTAGAGAAATGCAAATCAAAACCACAATGAGATATCACCTCACCCCAATTAAAATGGCTTTTATCCAAGAGTCAGGCAATAACGAATGCTGATGAGGATGTGGAGAAAAGGAAATTCTCATGTACACTGTAGGTGGAAATATAAGTTAGTTAGTAAAACCACTATGGAAAACAATTTGGAGGTTCCTCAAAATACTAAAAATAGAGCTACCATATGATCCAGAAATACCACTCCTAGGTATATGCCCAAAAGAAAGAAACTAGTATATTGAAGAGTTATTTGCACTCCCATGTTTATTGCAGCACTATTCACAATAGCCAAGATTTGGAAATAACCTACATGTCCATCAACAAATTAATGGATAAAGAAAATGTGGTAGATACACACAATGAAGTATTATTCAGCTATAAAAAAGAATGAGATACTGTCATTTGCAACAACACAGATGGAACTGGAGTTCATTGTGTAAAGTAAAGTAAGCCAGGCACAGAAAGACAAACTTCATATGTTCTCACTTATTTGTGGGAGCTAAAAATTAAAATAATTGAACTCATGAAGATAGAGAATAGAAGGATGGTCACCAGAGGCTGGGAGGGGTAGTGGGGGGTTAGGAGGGAAGTGGACAGGGTTAATGGTTACGAAAAATAGAAAGAATGAATAAGACCCAGTATTTGCTAACATAACAGGATGACTATAAAGTAATTTAATTATACATTTAAAAATAACTAAAATAATACAATTGGATTGTTTGCAACACAAAGGATAAATGCTTGAGGTGCTGGCTACTCCATTTACCCTGATGTGATTATTACACATTGCATGCCTATATCAAAATAACTCATGTAACCCATAAATATATACGTCTACTATGTAGCCACGAAAATTAAAAATTTTCAAAATTAAAATTTAAAAATATAAGAATATCCCTTCGTATTTGAGGACAACCACTTGAATTAAAAATAGAAGTGATTTCATGGATTCCCCTGAGTTGTGCACATTTCTATACTCTGAAATCTTTATACATGCATTTTTATGTAATTCGTATCAACCCATTTTTGTTGCATAATGTTCTATTCTTTCTATGAATTGTATATATTAGATTAAACATTTGAATAACATATACTGTCTTAAAGAAGATGTTTTAAAAGTAATTTTTCAGAATTTTTAAAATTTTCATTTTCTTGGGAGATGATTTTCAGGCTGGTTGAATTTGTTAAATATATTGCTTATGTTTCTTCATATTCTTTGAAAGTTTCATATGCAAATTCACATTGAGTGAACGTTTTAAAATGTGAATATCTTCTTTCTGTGTTCACCCCTACCTATTTCATGGAATTGCAGGTGCCTAAATACAGGCCAGCAGTGATCTCAGGAATCCTGAGACAGGATATAGCAATGATCTGTGGCCTGAGGCAGCACTAGGCTTGGTCTATTTCCTGGTTTGCAGCTGCTTCTGTTCAATCCAGCCATCCTTGATGAAAGTTCTCTAGCGGCTTCAGGTTCTGAATGCATCTGAAGATTCTTTCAGCCTTCAATCATTCTTGGGGCGCAGACCCCATTCCTCACCCCACCCCCATTTCATATGGTCTCTGGCTCCACTCCAATGTCATACACGTGCTTTTTTTTTTTTTTTTTGAGACGGTGTCTCGCTCTTTCGCCCAGGCGGGACTGCACTGGCGCGATCTCGCCTCACTGCAAGCTCCGCCTCCCGGGTTCACACCATTCTCCTGCCTCAGCCTCCTGAGTAGCTGGGACTACAGGCGCCCACCACCGCGGGGCTAATTTTTGTGTGTGTGTGTGTGTTTTTTTTTTTAGTAGAGACGGCGTTTCACCGTGTTAGACAGGATGGTCTCGATCTCCTGACCTCGTGATCCGCCTGCCTCGGCCTCCCAAAATGCTGGGATTACAGGCATGGGCCACCGCACCCGGCCTACATGTGCTATTTTTTATTCATCTCCTACACTTTTATGTTTATTTCCTATAAGGGTAATATCCTTGCTGTCACCTTCTGTTTCCATTCCCAAACTCCAGTAGGCCTTCGGCTTCAGAACCCATTTGAAAGCTGGTGCTTCTAGCCCATGGAGATTTATTCATTTTCCATTATGTTTATCCATAAGCAGATAGAAAGTCCACTGTCTGCTTCTTGTTCATGGAGATGTTTAACAGCTGTTAACCATTTTTTATCTTTTATCTTACTTGCTAGATGTTTTCACAAGGGACAGGGAGGGTTATGGGAACTCACTCTGTCATCTACTGGAAATCCACAAAAGTACAAGCTTTACAAATACATACATGCCATTGTCCATGCATTTGGTAGTATGTAAGAAAAAATTTAACTCAAAGCCACTCTAGTTATTTGAGGTACTGTCTTGTGTATTTGTATCAGTACAGAGGTAGAGATGGCTTCCATATAGATCAAGTCAGGAGTTACAGGACATCATCAAAGACTGAGGTGTCTTCATCTCTGCTCCATCATACACAGAATTAAAGAAAGTCAATTTAATACTGCTTTCCCCACACGTTACAAAATGCTGCCACTATAAAGATAGTAAAAACACTTTGGCAAGCTTTTCTCCAAATTTCACATCTGGACACACATAATGGCCAGATGAACAAACCCAGGGAACCATCCTGGTGTTAGAGAAGATGCAGATGCATTGCTTCAAATGGCAAAAAGAGATCAAAGGTCTTCCAGCCCAAAGCCAGCTGGCACCTCCCACACAACCATCTAATGGTTAATGATTAATTAGATGGTTAATGCCCATCTGGCAGCATCTCTGAACACCTTCACTAGGACTGGAGGGTTAAAGTACTGGCAGAGTTTCAAATAACAACAGTGGGCAAGCCAAGGCAGGCTGTGCTGAACATCGATACCCAAACACTTTCATGAATAAAATCTTGTTTGCATTCCATAGCAAGATATAACAGAACTGGGTATACTGGATTGAATGTTCCTTATGTGGGGTACATGGTGGCAAATC